>NC_000013.11:75226287-75377802 GCF_000001405.40 Homo sapiens
GGCTTCCTGGCAGAACTCCAACCCGCCTGCGCACTGGGAGGAATGCGCACGGGGGAGGAGCCACAGAAATTCACACCCTTTGCAGCCTGGAGGAGCCTCGGCCCTCTTCCTGGGTGGAACCTGGGATTCAAACTGTGAGGCAGAAAGCCCAGCGGGCAGGAAGCACACTCTCTCACTTTGCTAAGAATCTGTTTCCCTTTTTGTTCCTTTTTTGCCCAATAAATCCCACTTTTCTCACTCTTCAAATTGTCTGCGAGCCTAAATTTCCGTGGCCGTGTGACAAGGACCCCGTCTTTAGCTGAACCAAGGAAAAGTCCCACAACACCAGCAGTGCCAGCGGCAGAAGCAGCCTGAAATTTGTTAAAAATATAACCTCTCAAGGTCCTTCTCCTAGATCTACTGAATGGAAAACTCACCCAGCAATCTGGGTTTAAACAAGCAATTCAGCTGACTCTGATACCCACTTAAGTTTGAGAACTATTGACGTGAACCTGTGCTCTCAAATGTTAGTGTTTTACAAATTAACTGGGGATCTTGTTAAAATACAGACTCTTGACTCTGCAAGTCTGGAGCAAGGCCTGAGACTGCATTTTTAACAGGCTGTCTGGTGATGCCAACACTGCTGATTCACCAACCACATTTTTGAGTAGCAAGAACTTAAACCACAAGACATTTGAAATTTCTTTGGCAAGGACTCTAGAAGGTAGTTCAGGACTCAGTTAGTGGCTTAGTGATATGATCCTGTACCCTATCTTTCCATCTAGTCCAATGGTGTGTTCATAAATTTTAACAGTTGGCTGGAGGCACGGAGGGAGACTACTGATATGTAACAGTTACCAATTTCCACAGTGTAAATACTACCCATCGTAGTTAATTTCAACCTACTGATGTGATGCCAACTGGCTTGCAAACTTTTTGAAAATTTCTCAATCAGATATTGCAAGCTGGTATGAGCTGGCTCCAGTACCCCACTGGATATAGGGCTGTGATCCCATGGTACAGGGAAAGTTAACAGTGGTGGGGATGACAGTGTTATGAGCATGGGAGTCCTCAGCTTTGCTGATTCATAGCAGGTCAGAAATATTTTATTAAAGGCCTATGGATGGGCAACAAACTTTATTACTAGTTTAAATCATTCTAGGCAGATGAGGAGTCTCTCGTGTATGAAAGTTTTTGCTTACTATATAAGGGGAAGAGGTACCAATAAAAAAATACCCTGTGGAAGGTTGTCCATACGTTAATTCACTGAGCAAATGCATATTAAATACCTATGATGTTTCAGGCACAATGATATAGTAAAAAAGACTCACTCTGTCACCCAGGCTGGAGTGCAGAGGTACAATCTTGGCTCACTGCAACTTCTGCCTCCTGGGTTCAAGTGATTCCCCTGCCTCAGTCTCCCAAGTAGCTGGAACTACAGGCACTTGCCACCACGCCTGGCTAATTTTTGTGGTTTTAGTGGAGACGGGGTTTCGCCATGTTGGCCAGGCTGGTCTCGAACTGCTGACCTCAGGTGATCCACCCATCTTGACCTCCCAAAGTGCTGGGATTACAGGCATGAGCCACTGCGCCCAGCCTAGAATCCTTTTCTTTAAAGTGCTTACCATCTCCACATAGAGCTGACGCTCCAATTAAACAAGGAAGTGTTCAATGTGAGAGTACAACCATCATGTGAAAAAGATGCCAAATATACAAAGCACAAGAATATGTGCTCCATGAGAGCAGGAATTTTTCTCCATTTTGCTCACAGCCTTATCCCCACCCCCTACCATTGCCTGGCGTCCAAAGCTTAATCGTTATCTGTTGAAAATAATAAAGGTAAGCCACTCTTCTGTGCGCATCACAGCCCAGTGTTCAGACCAGAATAGGGACCAGGGAACTGTAAACTATGCACTGGAATGAACAGGCAAGGACTCATTAAATTCATTTTCCTGTATAAAGCCACAGAGTCAAGAAATGGCGTCTGCTGCCCTACGAGGTTCTGTGATTAGTTCAGGAAGAAATCCCATCAAATTTATAGTGAGGCCTAAATAAGACAGATGTTAAGAGGCAAGAAATACCCAGATCCTGGCAGAGGGCTCTGAATCCTCATGTTTCTTGGCACTTCCCCTAATTCACAAGAAATTAGCCAGCAGTGAGAGAAAGCCATTTGGCCCTCTGAGTGTAGTTCTCCCAGGGTTGTGATTTTCTTCTGTGAGTGGATTCCTTCCCCTTTAATGTTTAACTGTTTTCCCTACTGCTCTCACAAGCCAACCCCAAACGTTACATTCTCACACCCCTTTGTGCAATCTAAACAAAGTAAAAGAACAAGAAGAAGTTTCGGTTTTAAATCCTGAGAATGAAGGATGAGCTCTGAAAAGAATAGGTGAGGTGGATTTAAAGTGGAAACACACACACACACACACACACACACACACACACACACACACGGCCCAAGAGGAGGCTCATAAGCTGACAGACGCCTCTGTTGGCAAGAAATTCTACTCCACTTGAGATTCTAGGAAAAAGAAGAATTTCTTTAAATTAGTACCATTTCAATGAGTCCTATTTCTAAATCTTCCTTCTGCTTTTTTAAAACTGGTTAAGGCTAACATTCAATACTGCTGTAGATTGAATTGTTTCCCCCAACCTAAACTCATATGGTGAAGCCCTAACCACAATGGGAGGGTATTTGGAATTGGGGCCTTTGGGAAGTGAGGTTATGAGGGCTGGGCCCTCATTTTGGGAGTAATGGCCTCATAAGAAGAGGAAGAGATCTCTCTCTCTCTCTCTGCCTCTGTCTCTCTCTGTCTCTGTCTCTCTCTCTCTCTCTCTCTTTCTCTCAAGGTGCATACATACAACAAGGAAAGGTCAGATGAGGACACAGCAAGAAGGTGGCCATCAACAGGTCAGGAAGAGAGCCTCACCAGAATTGGACCATGCTAGAAACCTGATCTCACACTTCTAGCACCCTGAAACTATGAGAAAATAAGTTTCTGTTGTTTAAGCTACCTAGCGTATGGTATTTTGTTGTGGCAGCCTGAGCAGACAAATACAAAAGCTATCTGAGTCAAATACAAGGCAAAAAAGTCTTTAAGCTACTTTGTGGAAGTGGGTGTTTGGGGCTCTTTCCTGCACCAGGCATCAGATACCACTGGCACAAGCAGTAGCTGGCTGCAAAAAGGGCTGAAGAGGCCACCATCTCCTGTTCCCTGCTTAGAGCTGAAGACAAATGAGAGAGCCAGGAGCACTCCACTCTTCTCTACACCATGCCAGCCTGGGGGAATGCAACATGATCAAATAACAGTATAAATTACATTTTCTAAATTCTGCCCCCATCCTCTATTAAAGGAACTTCGACCTTCTCCAAAGGTCCTGTATGCCCCCTGAATAACTATTTCTAGTTATAGTTATAGTTAACTATAGTTATACTATAACTACTTCTAGTTACATTCTAGTTTACATTCTAACACCCCTCTGTGTTGCCCAGGCTGTAGTGCAGTGGCGCAGTCTCGGCTCACTACAACCTCCACCTCCTGGGTTCAAGCGATTCTCCTGCCTCAGCCTCCTGAGTAGCTGGGACTACAGGTGCAAACCACCACGCCTGGCTAATTTTTGTATTTTTAGTAGAAACGGGGTTTCGCCATGTTGGCCAGGCTGGTCTCAAACTCCTGACCTTAGGTGATCTGCCTGCCTTGGTCTCCCAAAATGCTGGGATTACAGGCATCAGGGAATTTAGAATTTGTACCACAGACCAGTATCTCCCACACTGATGCCTGATAGAACTGATCCCATGGGACTTACTGTGGAAGAAAAAAAACTGTCAGGGTGGAGAGGGGGGTGTTCACGGCCAAATGAGAATGGGAACCACCACATTGGACATCTCCTCGACAACATCCAAGGCTTTCAGGAATCCTTTATGAAAACTACTATCCCCAGAGTTAATTTGTTTTACTTTGTTTACCCTAGCGTTTTCAAACTTTAAAAACCTTTCTTTTGGTCGAAGGCAATTACCACATTTTTTGGAACCTACTTTGGGAAATGCTGCTTTAAGTTAGGCAGTAGTAACTGTAGATGTTTGAAGGAGAAAATTGACCTACCTAAACCAATACAATTGGAAAATTAATGTGAAGTTCAGAAAGCATTGAAGAGAAGGGAAAGAATAATCAATAAAGAAGTTTTGGCCAGAGTTGAGATAAAGCTATACAGATCCAGACCTCAGGGGCTGCAGTGAGAATGGAAAAGAAGAGTGAAAATAAAATAAATTGTTGCAGGAGTTGGCAGAAATTGTTTACTGACAATTTAGGAAGATGCCAAAGGAGAGAAAGGAGATAAGGTTTAGCACCTGGTTTCTGATTAAAAGAATAATTTCGTGACTGAGAGAAATAAGAGATACCAGAAAGAGAAAGGTGGCAAATTTGACTTCAGATATGGGAATTTTATTTTCATGATTCAGGGAACTTATTTCTCTTGGTCTACTATGTATTCCCAATGCTTGATCCATGGTAAGTTTGTAATTAATGTGATTGAATAACTGAAAAATACTCCAATCAGAAACTTTAGCAAAATATGTAAGAAAAAAAACACATAGGTACTTCTGCGCCCAGGGGTAGTACTGAGTCTGTGAATAAGGCTGCAGATAAACCAAAATCAAGTCATCTTTGTTTTGTACATCATCTCTTCCTAAATCTACATGTGAAACAGGAATTAGGGGTCCTGATATCCAGAAAAAGAAATGTTGAAGAATGGAGATATCCCTTTTCCAACACTAAATAAGCTGCATTTTAAGAAAGACAAATGTGGAAATAGAACCATCAAAGGACATAAAAATAGTAATCATTAGGGTGCGAGATGGGATAGAAAAACCAAAAAGAGTGATGGAAATGAAGTCAAAAGGGAAAAAAAGGAAGATTAAATCAAAAGCCCTCAATGTAGATGGGATTTTATGTATATTTTTATATTCTTAAAATTTATTATTTTTATGTGAAAAAAACATACCCTCCACCTCAAGAAAGAGAAGGAGAAAAATAGAGCTTTAAAAATTGCATGCTTCAGGCTTGTGGAAATCTATTGTCTGCCAGCATCAGACATGGTATTTACTTCAGGCCATATTCAGCCATGTACAGTATTTCAAAACTGCCACCTAGTAATTTAAAATGACAAGAAAAATAATATAATGGATGCATGCCTGATTTCTCCTTCTCTCCATCCCACAATAAAGGTGAGGGGTCTGAAGGCTCTTGATTATTCTCTCAGCAGAAGTAGCAAAGACTTTGAAAAGAGCGATGTTGGATTTGATTTCTACTTGGATGTTTCATTTCATGCCCTGAAGCTCATCAATTCATTCCCCAGGAAGGAAAGAAGCACACTATGAGGACAGTGGTATGGTGCAGGAGGAGGGACTGGTGGTGCATGGTCTGCACTTTTGTGTCTCCCCAAAATGCTTATGTTGAAACCTGTTCAACAATGTGATGGTATCAGGAGGGAAGTGATTAGGTCAGGAGGGTGGAGTCCTCATGCATGGGATTAGTGCCCTTATAAAAGAGGCCTGAGGGAGCTTGTTTGCTCTTCCACTTGTGAGGACACAGAGAGAAGGAATCATCTGTGAACAAGGAAACAGGCCTTCACTAGACACTAAATCTGCTGGCACATTGATCTTGGATTTCCCCGCCTCCAGAACTGTGAGAAATAAATTTCTGTTATTTGTGAGCTACCCAGTTTGTAGTGCTTTGTTATAGTAGCCAGAATGAAGTAATGCAGGGGGTGTTTCTGTTTTCCCTTATGTAGACTTCTTGCCCTTTCAGAGATGTGTACATAGAACCTTGTAGAGCACTGTACCTAAGTCTGACCTAGTCAGGAATTTAAAACTTTTGGAAATGCTTATGACAGAACCTCTTACGCTAGGGCCACAATCTACATTATCTCCCAAACTTATCTCCCATCTATTCTTCCCTGAATACTCTTTCCCCAAGCACCTGGGTTCACTCACAATTTACAAATGGACTCGTCTTCATTTATATTCCTCTGTCCATGCACCTTCTGTTCCCTCTGCATTGAATTCCCTTCCCCCTGCCCAACTCTGAGATTTCCTTAAGAAGCATTCACCTCCTCAGGGAAACCTTTACTACTGCACTGCAAGGTGACTACCCACAGCCATGGAATGTGCCAATAGAGAGGTGAAGATTAAGCCTGGGGAAAACGAGGTTGATAACTATTAAAGATGCACTGCACATCCTTAATTTAAAAATATCAATCTAGGCCAGGCACGGTGGTTCATGCCTGTAATCCCAGCACTTTGGGAGGCTGAGGCAGGTGGATCACGAGGTCAGGAGTTCAAGACCAGCCTGGCCAACATGGTGAAACCCCATCTCCACAAAAGATACAAAAAATTAGCCAGGCATGGTGGTGCGAGCCTGTAATCCCAGCTACTCGGGAGGCTGAGGTAGGAGAATTGCTTGAATACAGGAGGCGGAGGTTGCAGTGAACCGAGATAGTGCCATTGCACTCCAACCTGGGCAAGAGGGCAAGGCTCCATCTCAAAAAAAAAAAAAAAAATCAATCTAGGCAGTGATACTCAACAGCTACCAATATGACAAAACCAGAGACAGCTAGTTGCTTGAGACTCTTGGTGGAAGTACACAGCACCACCTATGAAGTGTTCAGGCCAAAAAAAAAAAAAAAATCAAACCTGAGTCTAATCAAGTTTCTCAACTGAATGCCTGATTATAGCAAACATAGGCAACAATGGCGCAAAGATGTTATCAACAAAATTCAGAGTGTGAGAAACTTTACGAATGATCAAATTTTGCCAACAATGCAATTGCAAGGAAAATAAAAAGATATGTAGAAGATATGGAAAAAGATATGGAGGAAGCTTTAGCTTAAAATAGATTTAAAAGACATCACAGTCAGTTGCAATGTATAGGTCTTATTTAGATCCTGATTCAAACTAACTGTTTAAAAATACATGAAACATCAGGAATCTGATTTGTTAATATTAAAGAATTATTATTCATTTTAAGGTATCAGTATTGGTGTTATGGTAATGTTTGAAAAAGAGCTCTTGGGGCATCATAATACTCCCTACACCCCTGAACTCACTCCAACCCCAACAGTAAGATCCCATAACTTAGGGTTATCAGTGTAGATCCCAAGAAAATAAAAGCAACAAAATTTGTGACCTGTAAGATCAAAAGGGACCATCCCAGTGTACAACAGCAAATATTTGGAAGGAGATATGGACAGTTGCTGAAAGATAATTTTTAAAAGATTAAAAACATGACTCTTGGGCCAATATAAAATTAACATGTGTCAAAGATTGTATTCAACCCATTCATTAGTGAGGAAATCACTAAAGTGGTTAAAACCAGTTATATATATATCAAATAAAAATGCTGAAATAAATCCGCTAATAGATACGGAACTGAATAATGTCTCAGATGGCAATAAAATAAAATATTTAGGTCGTGTTTTCTACAGGTAGAAATCAACAGTCTCTAGTTGTCAAAATTCATTTGCATTGCTATAAACAAGAATCATTTGCTTTACTAACAGTTTTTAACAAGTTAACTTCTTCCCCTAAAGTGATATAAAGTAGACTAGTCCATAGAAAGGCAATTGAAAATTACACACCACTATAGAATCATATAATCCCCAGAAGGTTCACCAGACCATGGATTTTCAACCTTGGCGCCATTGACATTTGGAGCCAGAAAATTCTTTGTTTTGTGGGTTGTCCTGTCCATTGTGGGATGGTTAGGAGCATCCCTGGCCTCTGCCTACTAGAGGCCAGTGGCAGGCCATCCCACCCAGTGGTGACAATCAACAATGTCTCCAATATTGCCAAATTCTTCCAATTTGAAAACACTGTGTTAGACAATGCCCAGCGCTCCATTGTAAGGACACCAGGATTTTCTTCTGCCCAGTTCCAACTCCTAGACAATTTCTGAGTAAGTCAGAACCACTTTCCCCACATCTCTTTTCTTTTCTTTTTTTTTTTTTTTTTTTTTTTTGAGACGGAGTCTCGCACTGTCGCCCAGCCTGGGTGCATTGGCGCGATCTCGGCTCACTGCAAGCTCCGCCTCCCACGTTCACACCATTCTCCTGCCTCAGCCTCCCAAGTAGCCAGGACTACAGGCACCGGCCACCACTCCCGGCTAATTTTTTTGTATTTTTGGTAAAGATGGGGTTTCACCGTGTTAGCCGAGATGGTCTCAGTCTCCTGACCTCGTGATCCGCCCGCCTTGGCCTTCCAAAGTGCTGGGATTACAGGCGTGAGCCACCGCGCCCAGGCTCCCCACAGCTTTTTTACTCCCCCTTGAGTGTAGGAAAAAAATCCTCCGAGTTGGGTAGAAATAGAGTTTTTACAGAAACCCAGAGGTATTCTTAACCTCTACCCACTTGAGTGAAGTACCAGGGCTATAGTAGGGGAAAGAATAATGGAACTTCCTTTAAATAAAGGGATCCAAGAAAAGAAAGAACCTGAGCCATGGTTTTCAGGTACAGTTCAGAGACACAGCAAACCTCAGAAAGAAGTTCCCCATCTGGGTGGTAGAGATTGGAAACAGCGGAGAACTTTTCTAGGAGCAGGAAGGGTGGAGACAACGCTTTGCGTTTTATAAGACCTAAGAGTTCAAAACCTAAATAGGATGTGGGCTTTTTGTTGTTGTTGTTGTTGTTTCATATACACTTTAAGTTCTGGGGTACATGTGCAGAACGTACAGGTTTGTTTCACAGGTAAACACGTGCCATAGTGGTTTGCTGCACCCATCAACCCGCCACCTACATTAGGTATTTCTCCTAATGTTCTCCCTGTCCTAGCCCCCACCCCTAGACAGGCCCCAGTGTGTGATGTTCCCCTCCCTGTGTCCATGTGTTCTGATTGTTCAACTCCCACTTATGAGTGAGAATCTGCAGTGTTTGGTTTTCTGTTCTTTTGATAGTTTGCTGAGAATGATAGTTTCCAGCTTCATCCATGTCCCTGCAAAGGGCATGAACTCATCCTTTTTTATGGCTGCATAGTATTCCATGGTGTATATGTACCACATTTTCTTTATCCAGTCTATCATTGATGGACATTTGGGTTGGTTCCAAGTCTTTGCTATTGTGAATAGTGCCACAATAAACATATGTGTGCATGTGTCTTTATAGTAGAATGATTTATAATCCTTTGGTTGTATACCCAATAATGGGATTGCTGGGTCAAATGGTATTTGGTAAGAGAGACTGAACCAGAAGGTCAAGACTGAAGCTGAAACAAGGGAAGTTTCTGGGGGACACTTCCGAGAAAGATGCAGTGTGGACCATCTACTGGGTACCAGAGTGGACAAGTTGCATGTCAGAAGACTGCTGGCTCCAGGGAGCTGAGGGAAGCCCAGTCAGGACCCACAGGTCTCAGTGTGCATTAGAGGAAGCACCCCATTACCAGTATTGAGGGCCCAAAGGAGCAGTTCCTTCCTGGCACAGGACAGAGTCAGTACAGAGGAGAAGACAACTCTGACCCCTCCGCCACCACCACTTCTGTCCTTTTACCCACCACACAGTGAATCTGCAAGTCCACGGGGAAAGGTGGACATAAAATGTCCTGACTGTGACTGGGCTAAGTCTGAAGGGACTGAAAAAAATCACTGAATGTGACTGAAATTCCCAGCAGTGATTGTATTGAGTTTTATGCCACATTGAGAATGGGAGTTCAGAGCCCCAAAATAAAATGTTATAGACAATAAGGTTATATTTTTGCACACTCAAGTCTGTGACTATAAAATTTGTACCCGTACAAAGATAGGAAAGGTAGTCCTGCACTAACTCGAAACCTGAGATTTGCTTACAGATAGACATGGAGCTTGCTGTGGAAAAAATAAGACTGAACTGAAGAGAATGAAAAAATAAATAACCAATGGAAAAATCTGGACTCTGTGAATTGAACTATTCCCCAAAACCATAAGAGACATTGGCCAATGCTCATTACATGGTTGTAAACAACCACAAAATGCCTGCAGCATAAAATCTAAATAACAGTTGGTTATTTTCAAAGCCTAATTTATTTTCATGCATTTTAGCCACCACAAACAAATGATTTATACTCAGAAGATAGGAATATCCAGAAAACAGATATTCTAAGATTTCAATTTACTCATTGAGTTTTAATCAGAAGTATAAATCATTTATTAACCAAACAACTGCACATTAAGCATCTTTTTTTAGAATTTTTTTAGAATTCTATTTTATTTTATTTTAAGTTTCAGGATACACATGCAGTACGTGCAGGTTTGTTACATAGGTAAATGTGTGCCATGGTGGTTTGCTGCACCTATCAACCCATCACCTAGGTATTAAGCCCCACATGCATTAGCTATTAATCATGACCCTCTCCCTCTCCCCACCTTCCCTGACAGGCCCCCCAGTGTGTGTGTTCCCCTCCCTGTGTCCACGTGTTCTCATTGTTCAGCTCCCACTTATAAGTGAGAATATGTGGTGTGCTAGATGGTGGCCTGATCACTGGGGATACAGCAGTAACAGGTGCATATAAATTGTTCTGCTGATACTTTTGTTCTATGGGGATACAGATAATCCTCCAAAACAAATAAATGTATAACGTAACTGATAAAGAAATACAGAGCAAGTAAAGAGACACAGAGAGCAACATATGTTAGGTCAGGTATTCAGAGGAGTCTTCCCTGATAACGCAACCTTTGAGCAGAGTCATGAATTAATTGAATGAGTCATTGGTTGTCAGCGAAAGCATGTTGCAGAGAGGAGTTGTAGATTCAAAAAAATAACCCCAAGGATTCAAGTGTTTGAAGAACAGCAAGGAAGCCACAGAAGAAGAAATCAGTAAGCAAAAGCTGAAAATGGTAGGAGGTAAGGATGGATAGGCAGCTGGGAGTGAGATTCATAGCCTTATAGGCCATGGCAACACTTACGGACCAGATTCTGATGAGATGGGAATCTTTTCAAGAGATGTGGAGGAGAAGCTTAGAATGATCTGGCTTGCTGCTGAGTTAAAAATAGAAGACAAAAGTTACAGATTGGAAACAGGAAGACTTAAGAGGTTTTGCAATGGTCCACCCAAGAGGTCCTGTTGGACTAATGTCATAACAATGGATTGGTGAGAAACTGTCATATTTAGAATACATTCAAAAGGTAATGTCAACAAGATGTGCTGATGGATTAAACATAGGGTGTGAAGAGAAGAGAAGAGTTGAAAATAATTCTCAGAGTTTTGGCCTGGAGTTATCATTTATTGAAGACTAAGTAAAAAGGCAGTTTGGCAGGAGCATCAAGAATTTGGAAATGTTAAGTAGATATTGGATATTTGAGTCTAGAATTCAGGAAAGAGATTAGGGCTGAGCATATGATATGTATGGAAGTCTTCATCATATGGATAGCATGTAAAACCACGTCCTTTATGAGTGTCTCAAGAGCACGTCTGAGGACTTTCAAATTTATGAAGAAATGTTGTCAATTGACAGCCTGAAAACTCAAACTTGTAGAATAGATATTTTTTATTTTTTATTCATATTTAAACCATCTTTATTTACAAAATACTATCCTGAGAACTACAATTCCATTAAACTTCAATTTGAGAAAAGTGTAATCACTTAAGTAACAGCAGTTACTTAAACTGAAAATGAGATCAGTCAAAATTACTTTTGAAGAAAGCAAAAATATTGTCAGGTTTCTTGCTGTGGTTCTGGATGTTCAGTAGCAGGCTCCTTTAAAGGCAGAATCAACCATGAAGGGAACTCGCTTCTACCTTCAGAATGTGGGGTTGGGGTAAAATCCAGGTCTTGGATGAAAGTAAGGAGGTAAACCCCTCAGTGGACAGATGTTTCTCATTGCAAATGGAACATGTGGTGGACCTGGGAAATCCCTTGGTGGAAAATAACCTTGTGAAGCTCCAAACATCGTTCCTGGAGGAGGTTGGGGGAAAAGAGGTCCTCTTCTCATGAACGGGCACCTTGTGTCCACTGGAAACAATGGACCACTGATTGGAGCAAGAGGTGGAGGAATAAAGCCGGGGCCAGTTGCTTCATTTTCAGCAGGGAGAGATGAATCAGGCACATTTAAACTACCAGGATCATCTTTGGCATCATGTCTAGTGGATTCCATTTCTGAAGGCATTGACCCATCCATTTTATCCAAAGAAGGCATATTAAAACTTCTGAGTTCTGATGGTCCAGGCAGTCTATCAGAATTAGAATAAAATCTGTCTTCCCTTTGTGGAGGAAGAGCTGAATCAGGATATGATTGTCCTGGTGGAGGAAACATCATCCTATGGTCCTGTTCCCATGGAGATGACAGGGACCCAGTGTCAGAAGGAGCTCTGTGAGGATCAGTTAACCTATCACAGCTTGGTTCTCCTCTTTCATTGGTAATCTGATGGTCCAGAGGATTCTCTCGGCCGCTTGGGCTTCTTCCTCCTCCCGCTGGAAGCACAGGTGAGAGTCTGAGTGGATCCTCCAACAAAGTTTGAGGAGAGAGAAGTCCTCGTTTCAGATGAAGGCCGACCCAATGGTGAGGGACCATATGGGGAATGCTCTCTGCCAGATGCTGTATTTGAAACATCAAGTGCATTAGGATCTTTTTCTAAAACTTCAAATTTAAACTCTGTTTCAGTTAATTTTTGTTTGTTGTGAGCATTTTCTTTCCTTAAATCATTGAGGTTTCTTTCAGCAGTCCGAGCTGCCAACCAATTATCATGTCCTTTTTTCTCGTAGGAAATAACCTGCTTTTGATAAAAATGAACAGTTCTCTCCAATTCTTCTTCAAGATCTTTGGCTAGCTTTCTATAGGTCTCCAGCTCTTCAGTGGCATGGCTGATCTTTTCTTCCACTTTAGAAAGCTTCTCTTCTTCCTCTATCCAGTAATTTTCCTCTATTGTCAATTTCCTGTGGAGTGTCATTTCATTTTCTTGATATAATTCAGTCATTATTTTAAGTTTCTGTTGAAGCTTCTGATTCTCACTTTCAAAATATATGTTTTCTGACTGCAAAGATGCTTGTTGAGTCTGAAGATTTTTAATATGCTCTGTAAGCTCTTCCTTTGTTTTGTCCACTTCAGATAACTGAATAATAATGTGGTTTCTTTCTCCTTCTAAGGTTTTTAAAGAAACATTTAACTTAGCAGCATGAATCAGTTTCTTCAAAGCTCCTTTTGGAGGATCATCTAAATAAGCACCATTTTCCGATTGACTGTTCACTTCTAATTCCAAGTTATCATCATCCGTTGTGTCTTCTTCAAGCACAGCAGCCTGATCGTTCATCATTGGCAAGTGTCCAGTCAGGGTCTTGATGTGATTTTATCATTTAGAACTTGTTCTGCATGTACTTTGGAGTCTTCAAATGTTATTTTCTGTTTATTAAGTTCACTCACTTGTTCTTTCCATACTTCAGCTTCTTGCAAAAGCTGTTTCTGGCTTTCGTGAAGTTGAGAATTTTTATTCAAAGCATCTTTTATTGCTATTGCCCATCGTTCTTCAGTCGCTTGAAAAATCTTGCAGATGATTTTGGCTTCAGCTATTTGTGATTTGAGGGATTTTGACTCATCTTCTAGAGATTGTATCCTTTTAGAAATATCCGCCATCAATTCATCTTGTTGAGAATGTTTAGATTTCCCTTAACTCTTTTTCTAGACAGAGGGTTTCATCCTCAAGTTCAGAATTGGACCTGTTCAGCTTTTCACAGGTTGCCTCCAAACTTCGTGCTTCTGCTACCGCCTTCTCAAAGCTGGCATCCTCTAAAGATGACTCTACTTCATAGCCTTCATACTCTTTTTGAATAAGGCTAAATTTTTCAAGTAGTTTACATTTTTCTTCAATTAGTCCAGAAAGCGTTTCACCAAGTTTTTTCTCTCTTCCCACATAAAGCCGACTCCTAACCGATCTAAAACTTCTCCACAAAAAAAGGAGAACAACAAAAAATCCAACAACAGCTGCACATACCACCAGTTCCCATGGAAAACCATAAGGATTCGAATCTGCCGTCATACTCTCAGGTAGTGCTGCCACAACTCTGCGTAGCTCCTCCAGGACCAGCCCCAGGTAGGGCTGAGGGGTAGCACCGGGCTCCTCCATAGCGCGAAGGCTGCTCTGGCGGTCACCACAGTAACACTGGCCACAACAAACGGTGGAGAACACGCAGCCTTGGGTCTGGAACCCGAATCCGCACGCGGCAACCAACCGGAGCGGACCACTGCGGAGCCGGCTGCGGGGGGAGCTGGGGAACGCGGGCACCCACAGGCTTCACAGGCCCATACTGCATCCCCAACCCTCCCTGGCCCCCTTGTTACACTTTACATCCTGAGGCAGCGCTGGTCCCAGCCCGACCCGCTTCAGTTCTGGCAGTTTTCACATCACATATTTTGAAGCACTTTTTGGTGAATACACTTTTGAAATTGCTGTCTTCTTCATGGATTAAACCTTTGATCATTATATAATCTCTCTGTTTCTGGTAATTTTCTTTGCTTTATCTGATATACATACAGGCACTGTTGCTTTCCTTTCATTAATGTTTGTGTAATGTATCTTTTTTCATCCTTTTAATTTGGCCTCCCCTGTATTGGTAAATTTCAAGTTTCTTGTACACAGCATACAAGAAACATATAAGAAAGGGTCATACTTTTAAATACACTCTTCTATTATCTGTCCCTTGGTAGACCATTCATAATTAAACTAATTGTTGATACTTTAGTGCATAAGCCTGACATTTTTTGTTTTCTGTATCAATTCTTGTTTCTCTGCTTATTTTTCATGACTTCCTGTGGGTCACTTGAACATTTGTTTTAGAATTCCATGTTGTTATTCATAGTGTTTATAGTGTATCTTCTTTTTAACAGTTTTTTTGGTTGCATTTTATAGCTTAGTGGTTGCATTTTATTATTATTATTATTATTATTATTATTATACTTTAAGTTTTAGGGTACATGTGCACAACGTGCAGGTTTGTTACATATGTATACACGTGCCATGTTGGTGTGCTACACCCATTAACTCGTCATTTAGCATTAGGTATATCTCCTAATGTTATTCCTCCCCCCTCCCCCCATGCCACAACAGTCCCCGGTGTGTGATGTTCCCCTTCCTGTGTCCATGTATTCTCATTGTTCAATTCCCACCCATGAGTGAGAACATGCGGTGTTTGGTTTTTTTGTCCTTGCGATAGTTTGCTGAGAATGATGGTTTCCAACTTCATCCATGTCCATACAAAGGACATGAAGTCATCCTTTTTTATGGCTGCAAAGTATTCCATGGTGTATATGTGCCACATTTTCTTAATCCAGTCTATCATTGATGGACATTTGGGTTGGTTCCAAGTCTTTGCTATTGTGAATAGTGCCGCAATAAACATACATGTGCATGTGTCTTTATAGCAGCATGATTTATAGTCCTTTGGGTATATACCCAGTAATGGGATGGTTGGGTCAAATGGTATTTCTAGTTCTAGATCCCTGAGGAATCGCCACACTGACTTCCACAATGGTTGAACTAGTTTACAGTCCCACCAACAGTGTAAAAGTGTTCCTATTTCTCCACATCCTCTCCAGCACCTGTTGTTTCCTGACTTTTTAATGATCATTCTAACTGGTGTGAGATGGTATCTCATTGTGGTTTCGATTTGCATTTCTCTGATGGCCAGTGATGATGAGCATTTTTTCATGTGTTTTTTGGCTGCATAAATGTCTTCTTTTGAGAAGTGTCTGTTCATATCCTTTGCCCACTTTTTGATGGGGTTGTTTGTTTTTTTCTTGTAAATTTGTTTGAGTTCATTGTAGATTCTGGATATTAGCCCTTTGTCAGATGAGTAGATTGCAAAAATTTTCTCCCATTCTGTAGGTTGCCTGTTCACTCTGATGGTGGTTTCTTTTGCTGTGCAGAAGCTCTTTAGCTTAATTAGATCCCATTTGTCGATTTTGCTTTTGTTGCCATTGCTTTTGGTGTTTTAGACATGAAGTCCTTGCCTATGCCTGTGTCCTGAATGGTATTGCCTAGGTTTTCTTCTATGGTTTTTATGGTTTTAGGTCTAATGTTTAAGTCTTTAATCCATCTTGAATTAATTTTTGTATAAGGTGTAAGGAAGGGATCCAGTTTTAGCTTTCTACATATGGCTAGCCAGTTTTCCCAGCACCATTTATTAAATAGGGAATCCTTTCCCCATTGCTTGTTTTTCTCAGGTTTGTCAAAGATCAGATAGTTGTAGATATGCGGCATTATTTCTGAGGGCTCTGTTCTGTTCCATTGGTCTATATCTCTGTTTTGGTACAAGTACCATGCTGTTTTGGTTACTGTAGCCTTGTAGTATAGTTTGAAGTCAGGTAGCGTGATGCCTCCAGCTTTTTTCTTTTGGCTTAGGATTGACTTGGCAATGCGGGCCCTTTTTTGGTTCCATATGAACTTTAAAATAGTTTTTTCCAATTCTGTGAAGAAAGTCATTGATAGCTTGATGTGGATGGCATTGAATCTATAAATTACCTTGGGCAGTATGGCCATTTTTACGATATAGATTCTTTCTACCCATGAGCATGGAATGTTCTTCCATTTGTTTGTATCCTCTTTTATTTCATTGAGCAGTGGTTTGTAGTTCTCCTTGAAAAGATCCCTTACATCCCTTGTAAGTTGGATTCCTAGGTATTTTATTCTCTTTGAAGCAATTGTGAATGAGAGTTCACTCATGATTTGGCTCTCTGTTTGTCTGTTATTGGTGTATAAGAATGCTTGTGATTTTTGCACATTGATTTTGTATCCTGAGACTTCGCTGAAGTTGCCTATCAGCTTAAGGAGATTTTGGGCTGAGACGATGGGGTTTTCTAGATATACAATAATGTCATCTGCAAACAGGGACGATTTGACTTCCTCTTTTCCTAATTGAATGCCCTTTATTTCCTTCTCCTGACTGATTGCCCTGGCCAGAACTTCCAACACTATGTTGAATAGGAGTGGTGAGAGAGGGCATCCCAGTCTTGTGCCAGTTTTCAAAGGGAATGCTTCCAGTTTTTCTCCATTCAGTATGATACTGGCTGTGGATTTGTCATAGATAGCTCTTATTATTTTGAGATACGTCCCATCAATACCTAATTTATTGAGAGTTTTTAGCATGAAGGTTGTTGAATTTTGTCAAAGGCCTTTTCTGCATCTGTTGAGATAATCATGTGGTTTTTGTCGTTGGTTCTGTTTATATGCTGGATTACGTTTATTGATTTGCGTATGTTGAACCAGCCTTGCATCCCAGGGATGAAGCCCACTTGATCATGGTGGATAAGCTTTTTGATGTGTTGCTGGATTCGGTTTGCTAGTATTTTATTGACGATTTTTGCATCGATCTTCATCAAGGATATTGGTCTAAGATTCTATTTTTTTGTTGTATCTCTGCCAGGCTTTGGTATCAGGATGATGCTGGCCTCATAAAATGAGTTAGGGAGGATTCCCTCTTTTTCTATTGATTGGAATAGTTTCAGAAGGAATGGTACCAGCTCCTGCTTGTACCTCTGGTAGAATTCGGTTGTGAATCTGTCTGGTCCTGGACTTTTTTTAGTTGGTAAGCTATTAATTATTGCCTCAATTTCAGAGCCCGTTATTGGTCTATTCAGAGATTGAACTTCTTCCTGGTTTAGTCTTGGGAGAGTGTATGTGTCGAGGAATTTATCCATTTCTTCTAGATTTTCTAGTTTATTTGCATAGAGGTGTTTGTACTATTCTCTGATGGTAGTTTGTATTTCTGTGGGATCAGCGGTGATATCCCCTTTGTCATTTTTTATTGCATCTATTTGATTCTTCTCTCTTTTCTTCTTTATTAGTCTCGCTAGCGGTCTATCAATTTTGTTGATCTTTTCAAAAAACCAGCTCCTGGATTCATTGATTTTTTGAAGGGTTTTTTGTGTCTCTATTTCCTTCAGTTCTGCTCTGATCTTAGTTATTGTTTGTCTTCTGCTAGCTTTTGAATGTGTTTGCTCTTGCTTCTCTAGTTCTTTTAATTGTGATGTTAGGGTGTCAATTTTAGGTCTTTCCTGCTTTCTCTTGTGGGCATTTAGTGCTATAAACTTCCCTCTACACACTGCTTTGAATGTGTCCCAGAGATTCTGGTATGTTGTATCTTTGTTCTTGCTGGTTTCAAAGAACATCTTTATTTCTGCCTTCATTTTGTTAGGTACCCAATAGTCATTCAGGAGCAGATTGTTCAGTTTCCATGTAGTTGAGCAGTTTTGAGTGAGTTTCTTAATCCTGAGTTCTAGTTTGATTGCCCTGTGGTCTGAGAGACAGTTTGTTATAATTTCTGTTCTTTTACATTTGCTGAGGAGTGCTTTACTTCCAACTATGTGGTCAATTTTGGAATAGGTGTGGTGTGGTGCTGAAAAGAATGTATATTCTGTTGATTTGGGGTGGAGAGTTCTGTAGATGTCTATTAGGTCCACTTGGTACAGAGCTGAGTTCAATTCCTGGATATCCTTGTTAACTTTCTGTCTCGTTGATCTGCCTAATGTTGACAGTGGGGTGTTAAAGTCTCCCATTATTATTGTGTGGGAGTCTAAGTCTCTTTGTAGGACACTAAGAACTTGCTTTATGAATCTGGGTGCTCCTGTATTGGGTGCATATATATTTAGGATAGTTAGTTCTTCTTGTTGAATTGATCCCTTTACCATTATGTAATGGCCTTCTTTGTCTCTTTTGATCTTTGTTGGTTGAAAGTCTGTTTTATCCGAGACTACGATTGCAACCCCTGCCTTTTTTTGTTTTCCATTTGCTTGGTAGATCTTCCTCCATCCCTTTATTTTGAGCCTATGTGTGTCTCTGCACGTGAGATGGGTTTCCTGAATACAGCACACTGATGGGTCTTGACTCTTTATCCAATTTGCCAGTCTGTGCCTTTTAATTGGAGCATTTAGCCCATTTACATTTAAGGTTAGTATTGTTATGTGTGAATTTGATCCTGTCATTATGATGTTAGCTGGTTATTTTGCTCATTAGTTGATGCAGTTTCTTCCTAGCCTTGATGGTCTTTACAATTTGGCATGTTTTTGCAGTGGCTGGTACTGGTTGTTCCTTTCCATGTTTAGTGCTTCCTTCAGGAGCTCTTTTAGGGCAGGCCTGGTGGTGATAAAATCTCTCAGCATTTGCTTGTCTGTAAAGTATTTTATTTCTCCTTCACTTATGAAGCTTAGTTTGGCTGGATATGAAATTCTGGGTTGAAAATTCTTTTCTTTAAGAATGTTGAATATTGGCCCCCCACTCTCTTCTGGCTTGTAGAGTTTCTGCCAGGAGATCCGCTGTTAGTCTGATGGGATTCCCTTTGTGGGTAACCCGACCTTTCTCTCTGGCTGCTCTTAACATTTTTCCCTTCATTTCAACTTTGGTGAATCTGACAATTATGTGTCTTGGAGTTGCTCTTCTCGAGAAGTATCTTTGTGGTGTTCTCTGTATTTCCTGAATTTGAATGTTGGCCTGCCTTGCTAGATTGAGGAATTTCTCCTGGATAATATCCTGCAGAGTGTTTTCCAACTTGGTTCCACTCTCTCCGTCATTTTCAGGTACACCAATTATACTTAGATTTGGTCTTCTCACATAGACCCATATTTCTTGGAGGCTTTTTCATTTCTTTTTATTCTTTTTTCTCTAAACTTTTCTTCACGCTTCATTTCATTCATATTTCATTCATTTCATCTTCCATCGCTGATACCCTTTCTTCCAGTTGATCGCATCAGTTACTGAGGCTTGTGCATTTGTCACATAGTTCTCGTGCCATGGTTTTCAGCTCCATCAGGTCCTTTAAGGACTTCTCTGCATTGGTTGTTCTAGTTATCCATTCATCTAATTTTTTTCCAAAGTTTTTAACTTCTTTGCCATTGGTTCGAACTTCCTCCTTTAGCTCGGAGTAGTTTGATCTTCTGAAGGCTTCCTCTCTCAACTCGTCAAAGTCATTCTCTGTCCAGCTTTGTTCTGTTGCTGGTGAAGAGCTGCGTTCCTTTGGAGGAGGAGAGGTGCTCTGATTTTTAGAGTTTCCGGTTTTTCTGCTCTGTTTTTTCCCCATCTTTGTGGTTTTATCTACCTTTGGTCTTTGATGATGGTGACGTACAGATTGGTTTTTGGTGTGGATGTCCTTTCTGTTAGTTAGTTTTCCTTCTAACAGTCAGGACCCTCAGCTGCAGGTCTGTTGGAGTTTCCTGGAGGTCCACTCCAGACCCTATTTGCCTGGGTATCAGCAGCAGTGGCTGCAGAACAGCAGATATTGGTGAACTGCAAATCCTGCTGCCTGATCGTTCCTTTGGAAGTTTTGTCTCAGAGGAGTACCTGGCCATGTGACGTGTCAGTCTGCCCCTACTGGGGGGTGCCTCCCAGTTAGGCTACTCGGGAGTCAGGGACCCACTTGAGCAGACAGTCTGACCATTCTCAGATCTCAAGCTGCGTGCTGGGGGAACCACTACTTTCTTCAAAGCTGTCAGACAGGGACATTTAAGTCTGCAGAGGTTATTGCTGTCTTTTGTTTGTCTGTGCCCTGCCCCCAGAGGTGGAGCTTACAGAGGCAGGCAGGCCTCCTTGAGCTGTGGTGGGCTCCACCCAGTTTGAGCTTCCCGAGCGCTTTGTTTACCTACTCAAGCCTGAGCAATGGTGGGCGCCCCTCCCCCAGCCTCGCTGCAGCCTTGCAGTTCAATCTCAGACTGCTGTGCTAGCAATGAGTGAGGCTCCGTGGGCATAGGACCCTCCGAGCCATGCGCGGGATATAATCTCCTGGTGTGCCGTTTGTTAAGCCTTTTGGAAAAGTGCAGTATTAGGGTGGGAGTGACCCAATTTTCCAGGTGCCATCTGTCACCCATTTCTTCTTTGACTAGGACAGGGAATTCCCTGACCCCTTGCACTTCCCGGGTGAGGCGATGCCTCGTCCTGCCTCGGCTCACACACGGTGCGCTGCACCCACTGTCCTGTACCCACTGTCTGGCACTCCCCAGTGAGATGAACCCGGTACCTCAGTTGGAAATGCAGAAATCACCTGTCTTCTGCGTCAATCACGCTGTGAGCTGTAGACTGGAGCTGTTCCTATTTGGCCATCTTGGCTCCACCCCAGAATAGATATTTTTTAATCTTGTATATCTGTCAAAACATTTTCAACAGGATAAGAAAAAAAATGGTTTCTGTCATGATAAATAATGCTTCAGCTTGGTGAGGTTAAAAATCCAGATTTACTGAAATTTTAAAATAAGAGACTGACATTTCCCTCATTTCTTTCTACCACTGTATAATAGATATTTAAAATATTTCTGCTTAGTTTTCTGAAGCAGGCTCTATGACAAGTGTTGCAGATACAGTTGTTAAAATCACTCATTAAATATGTGCAAACTATTAATCATTGTCAGTTAATAGAATCATTAAAACAAATAGAAGGCAATAGATTAAAGACCTTGTGTTCTTTGTGAATGCTGTTTGTTTGGGTTGTGGAAGCATTTTACAAAACTTTATTGTACTGTTAATTTCCATTAAAATAATTACTTGGGAGGCCATTAGCTGAGGTAGCTCCAGTGTAAACAGTCATATTCTTAAAAAAAATGAAATTTGACCAGGCACGGTGGCTCACGCCTGTAATCCCAGGACTTTGGGAGGCTGAGGCGGGTGGATCACAAGCTCAGGAGATCGAGACCATCCTGGCTAACAAGGGGAAACCCCGTCTCTACTAAAAATACAAAAAAATTAGCCAGGAGTGGTGGCAGGTGCCTGTAGTCCCAGCTACTCGGGAGGCTGAGGCAGGAGAATGGCATGAACCTGGGGGGCAGAGCTTTCAGTGAGCCGAGATTGCACCACTGCACTCCAGCCTGGGAGAGAGAGCAAGGCTCGTCTCAAAAAAAATAAATCAACAAAATGAAATTTAAGTGTAACCAACCAGAAACTGCCAACTAATTTCCAACTAGGACTGTCCACTGGCATGTTCCAAATGAGGCTACTGCTATACTTTAACCAATCAAATAATTTATTTGCTTTGCGTCCATGATTACCCTATAGCAGCTTTCCCTCAAATACCTCAGTCCCTGGATCCCTTCTGGTTTAAAGCTGTCTGCTGCATGATTTGCTGTTTGCTCATATAAACTCTTTAATATTTTAATATGCCTCAATTTACTTGTTAATACTCCTATTCAAGATTTTCTTGAAACAAAGGGAATATTTGCCAAATATTCAAAAATCAAAGACAAAAGGGGCAATATGATTTATGATTTCTCACAGATCTCACACTGCATGTGAATGAGCTAAATGTGAACTATTGAGAAAAGGGAAAGCTTATTTGTGACTTAGACAGACAAGTACAGACATTTATATTGAAATCTAAATTTTTCATAATACATGTAAATAATTATTTTACTCATTTTTCTAGCATGAATCAATATACACAAGATTTTAACAGCAATTTATAATGTTATATAAACTGGCTGTAAGACCACAAGAAAAATATTGATTAATTTAAAGTTGTTTTTCAATTTATGTATACCCCCTTTGAATTCAATGTTAACACTATATTGACACCAGAGTTAGTAAATTTACTTAACTTACACAGGTATAGTTTTGAAATTCATACTTGGCTTCAAAGTCAAATTAATTCTTCTCAAAACATGAACTGGTTTTATCAATGTGAATGTGAATATAAGAGGAAAATTATGTTTTGATACTCAATTTAGTTATTGGAATATTTTAAGTATGTTTGGAAAATCTTGGATGTGTGGCTCTACTTTTCAACCAGAAATGTTATGAAATCTGGATACAGATCAAGTACTGACAATAAATATTCTGCATTTAGCATTCACATTGAGATGAGTATAAATATATGCCAGATTTCAGACTTAGTAAGAAATAGAGAATGTAAAATAACTCATTAATACTTTTTATGTTGATTACATGGTGAAATGATGTTATTTTGGCTATACTGGATTAACTAAGATACATATATATATATATATATATAAATGGAGTCTCGCTCTGTTGCCCAGGCTAGAATGTAGTGGCTCCATCTCGGCACACCGCAACCTCTGCCTCTAGGTTCAAGCGATTCTCCTGCCTCAGCCTCCCTAGTAGCTGGGATTACAGGCATACACCACCACACCTGGCTAATTTTTTTGTACTTTTAGTAGAAACGGGGTTTCACTGTGTTGGCCAGGCTGGTCTTGAACTCCTGACCTCAGGTGATCCACCCACCTCAGCCCCCTAAAGTGCTGGGATTACAGACGTGAGCCACCACGCCTGGCCTAAAATATATTATTAAAATTGACTTTACATGTTCCTTTTTACTCTTGTTAATACGACTACTAGAACATTTAAAATCACATTAGTTGGCCCGAGATATGGGTGGCAGTGAGTGAGCTTGTGCATTGGAAGCTAGGAGCAGCCAGAAGATTGCTCTGTATCCAACCAGATGTGAAATGTTTAAATAAGAACACCTCCAAGCATGAGATGTATCTGAAGTGTCTTTTTTTTTTAATCCAATAGACATTCACTTTCAGTTGAGACCTTAAGTGGGAAGGGATGCTTCCCACCCAGAAAGATCAAACTCATCTGCTGGCATTAAACTTAATAGATTTGGCAGAGAGGATGCAGGTGAAAAAGAACACAGATACTAGGCATTCAGATTAAAGAGAGACAAAAAGCATATCCCCAATATTTTATAGTAAAGCAGGTGGCCTGTCTTTTACAAGGCATTCTATAAAGAAGTTAATGCACTTAAACAAGACTTAGTATCTAGATATTTGTATACCTTGAACAAGTACATGAAGAAAGTCCAACTTTCCACATGTTGTACACACAAACCCTGAAGCAGCCAGTCTAGTATAGATTGTGATGAATCTATAGAACAGGATCTACAAAGTCAGAAACAAAAGGACAATGGCCCAGGCCAGAAGCCTGGCAATTCTACTAGGTATACTAGCTAAGTATTGCCAGCACTCATTGAGTGAGAAAGAATTGGAAGTTAATATTCAAACTCACTGCATATTTTATGTAGTTATTATCTGTAAAGTAAAAAAAAAAATAGAGAGATCTCATCCAATAATATGAGTTAATGGATTCATGACTTAACATTTTAACTTTTTTTATAAAAGTCTAATTTAAACAACCTATCTAGGGACATTTTCAGAAAGATACAGGGACTGAGTTGAGTCTCTCCACTAAGAAAATATGCTAGTGCCACAATAGGAGAAAAACAAAGGAACAGTCCCTCTTCAATAATTCTGTTTGATTCCTGTTTCTGTCTAGATGTGTTACAACTTGTCCACATACCTTCACAAATCAGAAAAGAACTAAATAGGATTATATCAACATTTGCACTCTATGTACCTATTCTGAAGAATAACACAGGAAAGAGATTACTTGGAAGGTATATTTAAATACTTAATTTCCTCAATCGAGTTACAAGAGAAATGGACTGAGAATTAGGTCTCTGGGCTTGAGTCTATCAGTGATGGGGATTACTTCACTTTTCTGGAATTTCTTTTCTCATTTTCTTAAACATATGACTATGAAATGTATGGCTGTCCGCCAGAGAATCCTATCAGACAGAACCCCCGAGATATTTCCATATATATATATATATTCTTACCTCTGGGAGATTCTTACCTGCCATAATTGGGAGAAGATGGGGTTGATCAAGAAGAGGAGGTCTGTCATGTGGCTTTTGACACCGCGCCCCTCGTCCACCCCATCCTCCACCACAGTTCCCAGCCAGTTTAGAACCGCTGGACTAGATAAATCACCAGGGTTCTTTCCAACTAAAACAATCTCTGATTCTATGACTCATTGAATCATGAAATAATCTAATAGATGTGACCTAATACAAGGGATCTCTTGCCTCTGAATTCCATGACATTTGACCACAAATAGCCTATAGAGGATAATGAAGTTTCTGTGGCTGAGCACTCCCACCTCCCTGCAAAGAAACCTTTGCACCCTCCCTTTAACTTACTCAAAGCAGTTTCAAATAGGAACCAGAATCAAATTAGAAAAGTAACCTAGCAGACAGAAATGTGCCACGCATTTGCAGAATAGGAATATAGAAAGTAGGAAAAGCTGTTTTTACTATGAAATTTGTAAAAGCAACTCACTTCCATTCTGGAATCTTCTTCCTAATGAAATCATTTTTCTCATCCGCCCAGCTGTGCAGGAAGTGTGAGTTATCACAGTTCCCACTGTTGTAACTCCAGTCCCACGAAGTCAGAGGAGTAAATGAGCTGCTCCCTCACCATTTTGAACTGATATAGGGGATTTCATATTTTAGTCAATCAAGAGCACATTCCGCATATGTTGTCTTTCTCAAATGTTTGGATATCTTTTTTTTCTTTTTTTTTTCTTTTTTTTTTGAGGCAGGGTCTCACTATGTCACACAGGCTAGAGTGTAGTGGTGCGATCTCAGCTCAATGCAGCCTCAGCCTCCTGGGCTCAAGTAATCCTCCCACCTCAGCCTCCTGAATAGCTGGGACTACACATACAACCATACCCAGCTAATTCTGTTTTTATTTTTTTGTAGAGACAAGATCTTTCTATGTTGCCCAGACTGGTCTGAAACTCCTGGACTCAAAACATATGAATATCCAGCCCTGGAAGCTAAAAACAAGCTTTGTGCCCAAAAAAAGTTTATATTTTTGATTTTTCTACAACTAAATGGAACAGGGTTTAACTGAGAACAGTTTTCAAACACAAGTCTTAGAGAAGATAAGGATTACAGGCGTGAGCCACCGTGCTCTGCTGGACATCATTTAGCATATATGACAAGGTAACTGACGAAGGACAATTCAACCAAAAAATGATTAAAAGCGTTCCTCTAGTCTACTTTGCATTGAAAGAGCAAAGTGTTGCTCTAGGATTATTCTGTTTTGATGATATGTTTTGAGATTAAAGCAACATTAAAATCATATTTATAAATGTTAACATATATGAAGGAGATTGCCTGAGAGATTTTGCCAGCCTTCCTGAAAAAACGCCAATGGATGAGCTATCCATCTTAGAAAATTTTAGGTTAACATAAAATGGTATGTAAGCACAAATGGAGGCAACACTTTGGTTCTATTTCTACAATAAAAGTTTTAGAATTACTTTTCTATTTTTATATGCTTTATAAAAAATAAATTACACAATAGAGGGTAAAATAGAATTTAAACTTATATGTATGCAAAGCACCATAAACAAAACTAAGTAAAAAACCCAGAGCAAATGTCTTTAGATTGTATGCATCATCTGTTACTAGCACTCTCGTTTTACAAAGTAAGCAAACAGGGCAGGTAAATAGACATTTTTATAAACTCATTTATAATTGGCTTGAAGTAACAGAGGATGAAACCTATAGACAATGTCATGTTTTATTTTCAAAGATAAATTCCAGCTCTCTCATGTGCAGCTGATATTTTTTACTCTAAAGCTATGAACTTATTTACTTTATATTTCTTTATTTTACTAACTCTTAGCATTTTATTTTTCAAATAGCATGTATCTATTGAGAAAAATAAGAGAAAAATAAAGTTATATTTTACAATATTATTGCCCAGAAATGGTTGGTTACTATTAACACTTTCTGTTGACTTGATAAAGAGAATGCATGTGAAGAAGAAATTTTAAAATGAACATTGAATCCAAGAACTCTTGAATCTATGGATGGACATAACAAGGCACCTTGGAGCAGACTTTATTTTGTTCAGGCAAGAGTCGCTTAACTGGCTCCTCTTAGTTACACAAAAGTAAGACTAGCAGGCACTATTACCTGGGGAAAAGATAGAACCTGATGAACCCTGACAAAGTCTCCCTATATTTCTTGATAAGCAGAGGTAGCATTTGTGGAGAAGGTGGACAAATTTGCATAAGAGTCTAGAAGCCTCCTGAGGAAAAAAAAAAAAAAAGGTGAGTCTGATCTTTTCCCTTTTTGAAGTTCAACATTATTAGAATATTTGGGATGGTCTTGACAGTGGCCTGATGGTAGGAAAGGACACCAAGTACCCAAAGTAGAGTCCCTCAGAAGGGTGGAAATCTGGGGTACTTTATTCTTTCAAAGTAAAGATCTGAAGTCTGGGAAAAGGGATTGGCCCAGCACAGAGTGTGGCTGAGTCTAGAAGATCCTCAAGACTTAACCTGTTTTGTGAATCCAATTAGACAAACACAAAAGAGGTAACCTGGGGATTCTGAGCATGGAGTTTGGAGCCACTTTGTGATCTGCAGAGATCTGAAGCAGCCAAGAGTGTGCTGTCTCTCGGTAGCAGGGGACAGGGACGCATGAGATGGCGCAACTAGAACGGTGCGTGGCCCACAGAAGGAACTCAATAAAGATTCAAGGGAAGACAGCAGGCAAGAGAACATAAGGATTCAATCAATCAAAGCAAGAACTGCTAAAAACAGGACCCACCCTTGAACTGATCAGATTGCGTACTAGCCCTTCCACATTGAATAAGTCCCTGGGGTTCTTGAGCAATTCAGGGTGGAATAGTACACAAGAAAGGTACGGGACCCTCTTCTAAAACAGAACTCTGGGATCCCAAAGATTTGAGAAATAAGAGAGATGTGAATGTATTTGTAAGCCAAGTTAGTAAAGTAACATGTTTGAATATATATGCATTTTAAAACAGAACATCATATGAAACATAGGTTCTTATACATTGCTGATTTTCACTTAGGTTTATTATTATACATTGGCTCAAATGCTTGTTCATTCATTTGATAAACACTTACTAAACACCTATTATTTACCAGCACAATGGGTACTAAACAGAGTAATGCACTGCTTAGCCCTCAAGGGTTTCATAGTTTAATAGGGGAGAACAATAAATTACAACCCAACTTGGTAAGTGCTATCATTGAGAAATGAACAAAGCATTGTGGAAGCCAGATTAATACTACATAGAAGAGGCTTTAGTGCCTATTCATCTGACCACTCTTCACTTCATACTTCTTTTCTGCTTTGACCATAAGCAGGGAAACAACAGGAGAGAAGACCAAGTAGCATGCTCGCCAATGTCAAATGGTCAAGTCATATAAACACTTACAACATCACTGAATTTGTTGCTTAGGAACTCATTGGAAAATCATTCAAGAAACACTTTTAAAAAAATACTGCAATCTCATTGAGTTAGGACTCAAAGTGAAGGTGCCTTTTGGTAGAATTTCATAAGGAAATTTTGCTAATCTTTTAAAGTATTCTACAACCAGTAGTTGTTATTCCAACTCTGGGTCTTTGTCACCTTTACTCTAAATTCAGAGCACAGATAACAACCTACTCTTTACTTTTGAAAACACCTTTTCTCCTCAGAATAAAGGAAAAACTGTCCTTGCCCCATGAAAGGACATTTTTCCCCAGGTGTGAAGGTGGCTGGACAACGTGTTCAACCTAAGTTTCCCTCCTCCCTAGTTTAAAGATTTTTGCATAGGGAAGAAAGGGCTCTATTTGTGCAGGCAAGGGGTTAGAAAAGCTCATCCTTGAAAAAGGCGAAAGGAATACGTTTTTTGTTTTTTCTGTTTTTGAGACGGGATCTTACTATGTTGCCCAGGCTGGATTCAAACTTGTGGGTTCAAGCAATCCTCCCACCTCAGTCTCCCAAGTAGCTAGAATTACAGGCACATGCCACCACGACCAGCTGGGATTCTTTTTAATTCATTCTGTAAGCCTCCTCTCTGTCAAGCCAGTCCCTCTACGCTGCACCTTCTGGTTTCCCAGAATCATGGTGCTTGCATACTGAGGATGAGGAAGAGAGAAAACGATTTCTAATTCTCCCAGTTCCATTCTTACCAAGAGATATTCCTTCAGCTTCTCTCCATTATTTTCTACCTCTTCTCCAAGAAGAAATTTGAAAATTGGAAATGGGGCTTCAGGAATTGGAGCACAGGAGGATAATATTTTTTTTAAAGTCACTTGATAGATACATTCACTCATCTAAATTTACCTGTTGTAATGGCAGCTGCACACTCAATTTCCTTTTAAAAATTCACAAATGTATGTGGGGCAATAATCGTAGGTCCACTGGCAGATGATCTGTTTTTACAAAGTGCGGGAGTCGCCATCTAAAACCTATAAACTGTCACAGTCTGTCATCATTGCAAAGATGTGGCCATTATTTAAATTAGACTCTGAATGATTTCTTTCCTCTGTGATGGCTTTTCAGATGGTGATATGTCAGAAGCAGGCCACAATAAACTGGCAGTAAGCATTCACAACGCATTAGTCCTGCCTATAATTTGGTGCTTTCAGGAAAGCATACCAGTGATATATAAAAGATTGCGTCTCTGTTTAGCCCTGCAAGAAAAAAAAATCCAAGGAAATATATTTGACATAATTACCTAAATACGAGCTGGGCATTATGGCTTCTGAAGGTAGAAAAAAAATTAATATACCTCACTTATTACCAGCTAGGATAGATGCTTGCTAAGAAGTCTCTCTTGAATATGGGTGAAAACAATCCCTCATCTTGGTTTAGTATTCAATATTTCATAAAGCCTTAAAATAATATAATCTCATTTGATTTTCATAATAATGCTATTAACATTATTATGATGAGTATGTAATCTCATTATTATTCTCATTTTATATATGAGAAAGCTGTGGCTCAGAAAATTTTTGGTGACTCACTCAAGGTTACAATGGAGTTAGTAAATGATAGAACAACCTAAACCCAGGTCCTCTACCTTCAGAACTCCTACCCCTACTAAAGCTGCTGTGGAGTCTTATGGCTTTAACCTCTCGTTTGCATAATGAATTCATTTTGAAGTGTGTCCAAAAAATAAGCAGTCAAGTTCAAGAAACAGAACTTTAGTGCAGTGATTATCATGTTTCTCAAGCTACACATTAGAATCACCTAGGCAACATTACAAATTCTGATTCTCAAGCCACACTGCTGCCCAAATAAATCAGATTAACTGGTGTCAGTAGTTTTTTTGAACTCCTAAGGTATTACAACGTGTGGCCAAATGCACTATTTTTCTAAATTGATGGGCATTACAGTCCCCCTGAAAAGCTTGTCCAATAACAAATAGCCCATCCTACGCCAGAAGATTTGATTCATTAGATAGGGTAGAACTCTGGCTTGAATTTTTAAAAAGCTCTTCCATTGATTCTGATGCACAAAGTTTGAGAACATTTACCTTAGGGGTTAAGACCAACTTTTGAGTTAGATGAATCTGGATCTGACAGTTCTGCCGTTTACTAGCTGTGTGACTCTAAACAAGTTATTTCACCTTTCTAAGCTTCAGTTTCCTCATCTATAAAGAGGAGATAATAGTAGTCCTTCTTTTTTACAGTTGTCTTAACAATTAAATGATACAGTGCAGTGGTTCTCAAAGTGTGGTCCCTGGACCAGCAGCATCAGCATTACCTAGGATATTTTCAGAAACACAAAAACTATCAGGCTCCAGCCACATCTACTGCATCAGAAACTCTGAGGGTAAGGTCTACCAGTACTTAGCAAGAAGCCATTCAAGGTGATTGTTATGCATACTAAAATTTAATCACTAATATAATGCATATAAAGTGTTTAGACCAGTGCCTGGTATACAGAAAGTGCTCAAAAAATGTTAGATATTAGGTTGTGATTATCCACATCATTTTCATCATCTTCATCTGTATGATTAGCTTGTAATGCATGGTAAAAAGAAACTCAAAAATCACAACTGGAAATAAAATTATAAAAGGAACAGGCTCAATGTCAAGATTACTGCTAAAATTCTCAACACAAATGGTCTTTGTCTTCATGAACCATTCAACATTCCTGGTAAATTGCGACCATCTGACTATATCATTTCCCTCTTCAAAAACCCATCAATAGTTTTAACTGCCCACAGTTCGAAGTCTAAAGTCTGGCCTTAACTTCTTCACCAGACAGGTGTGTATAGCTCTCTCCATTCCTGTATACATCCCTGGCTTTCTTCCAGGTCTTTGAATGAGTCATGCTCCTGTCTACCTCCTGATTCATGAGAATTGCCCTACTAAGAAGTGTTATCTCTCAGAAAAGGAAAGGATGCAAAAATTAGTCAAGAATTCATCCAGTAGTTAGTTAAAATAACCTACCGAGTTCATACTATGTGCCTACTATATTCCCAGAGAAGTGCTGGGGCTTTGTAGATGAATGAAACAGATCTCATCCCTAACTGAATAGAGTCTAATGAGAGAAAAGCAGACATTAAACAAATGCTCGCAAATAATTAAATGGCTACATGTGTGCAACATTCCACAAAAGCAAGTACAAGGTACTAAGAAAGACTCTAATGGAGTCCACAACCTGGTGTGCCGGACAGCAGATGATGTGAGCTAAGGGAAGTCTCCTGAGAAAATGATGTTTAGCCTGAGGTTGAAGATGTGTAGAAACTACACAAGAGGAAAGAGAATAGGGCAGAGAGATTATGAGCATCCCAGGTAGAGAGAATAATAAGTACAGAGGTCCACAGGTGGGAAAGAGAATGGTGCTTCAAAGATGGTTTATCTGGGACAAGTCTGAGTTGATAAACACCTGTCCACTCAACCTCTATCACCAACATCAGAATGAAGGGTGGATACTTAAACCAATATTAGCTTGATTCTCTGTGTTTGTTTAAGAACCCAAGAAAGTATTAGGCCACGTTGCTGAAACTTTGAGAAACTAAGTGAATTGGTCATAAGCAAAATCTAAAGTCTTTGGAGCATTTTGGAGTCCATTTGGAATTCAGATCTCATCAAAAATCATCAAAACTGAGTCCAAATGACTGGTGAAGAAATGTGATGAAAAGTTAGAAGAAATTATATTATTTTTGCCTTCAGGAAAGAAAGATGAAAAGCAATTTTATACTGGTCCTCTGTATTTGAAAGGCTTTTATATATAAGAAGATGATCTGTTTTTCTTCATCTTCATGGAGAACAGAGGAAAAAGAAATGTGTTTAAACAGCAGTATTAAAAATATAGATTGGTATAAAACAATTTCTTGACAATAAAGAGAATTAAGTTTCAGGGATGTTACAAGGGTAGACTTAAGTAGTTTCCCTAAGGCATTTCCAAATAAGCTAGATCCTCCTATACTGGGATATTTTACCTGGAAGCAGAATGGTGAGCTACTAAATTCCTTCAAGTAGTTTGCTAACCTGTGAAGTCCATTCCAAATAAGGCAAAGACCAATGCAAATAAATTGAAACAACAGTGTCATCTAGTGGAAAGTTCAGTCATACCACTCAATATACCAATCTGATTGAATCCCTATATACTTTAAATATGAAAACTAATTAATTTTTAAAAACCAGATGTAAATTTGTTTCAAGATTTTATTTTCCCATTTATGCCTCAACCACATACACTAAAAAGAACCCCCAAATCATCAGGCTAATTGATAACTGAACCCTCTAGAGGGAACTAAGAAATTATAAGTACTTTGGTAGTCATAGTTTAAAGGGTAGACCCAACCGAATTCGAATGTTTTAATTAAATTCTTAATAGCCACACTCCTGATGTACGTCTTGGGCTTTCCAGATTTGAAGCCAAGTCTAAATGCTGAAATGAGAAGTGATTGCTTGTTAGGAGTCATGGAAAGCTAAAATGACTGACAGGCCTTTTTAGCTGCCCTCCTCCTGGTGCTTCTAGGTGACCCCTCTCAGACATAGTCTTACAGGAGACATCTCATTGTTTCAAAAGGAGACATCCCATTGTTTAGATGGATCCAAAAATCCAGTTTTGTCAGCAGAGTCAGAAATACGTATATTCACAAGCAGTACTTCATGCCAATAAAATGTACATGGGACAGACAGGGTTCTTACGGGAATTGAATGAGATAACATATATGACTTATGTATGGAAACTTCAAGTGTCAGTTACTTGAGATCCAAGTCTACTCTTTATTCTGTGCTCTGTGAAAATGTATTTTTCCTTTGCAGTTTGCATGATGATAAAATTTGAACTTTGTCAGGTGAGGGTGCTGGAGGGACCCTGCAGGAGGAAGCAGTTGTGCTTCCTGGTTTTGTGATAGCCCTCTGGACAGGCTGCTTCAGCCTGTGCAGCTTCTGCAGCACCCAGCACCTACAGCAAAGGCAGCTTTTCCAGCACAGGCTCCTGCATCGCTAGCTGGCCAGAAGTCCAAGGCAGCTCCCATGCACGGCTTTGCTCCACACTCTTTCAGAGAGCTTTTCAGTGATGTGCCTCAGGCCTGGTACCTTCCCAAACATGGCTTCCCTGGAATGCTTTTTGAGGGCTTCACAGCCTCAGCAAACTTCTCTGCCATTCAGGGAGCCACAGCCATGCCCTCACCAATAAAGTCTGGATCTCAGCCTTGGTACGAGGTTTGAGAGCAGGGAGACCGGCTTTTTCAGATGTGTTCCTTCCTTGGGTTCTCTCTTTCAGCTCTTAGTGGCTACACCCTGTATCTGTCATTCCTGCATTCTTTAAAGTTATTTTCACTCCTTACTAGCCAATCCCCAGGCCTCCAATTCCATATTACAGTTATAAATCTTTATATTAAATATTCCCTGTTCAAATTACTGTGTTATTTATGTCTCCTGATTGGACCCTGATTGATACACCATACAATAAATGGTAGCTAGGGACAGATCCAAGTTTTATGGGATCTGAGTTTTACAGAATTTGGGGGAGTTCCCCTTCAAAAGGAATATATGAAATTATTAATACAGAATTACACACAGAATCTTGGAAGATCTTCATGCAAATGACAGACCCTGAAACATTGGCTTTACAGCAAACCCACCACAGATGACAGCTACTGTTTTGATTAGAAGATGTGAAAGACACGTGTCTCATATCAGTTTACTTTCTTCCTTGATATCATGGTATTTGGGAAACAGAATTCATCATCAGAGAGGTAGTGTTTTGAGGAATCACTTATCAAGGAATATCAAAACCTGGATAATAGTCGCTGTTCTTGTGCCTTTCACATGCCCTCCCTCCACCCCACCCACCCCCACACACATCCTTTGGCTCCTTGTTGAGTCTCTTCTGACTCTTTAAGGATCCTTTAAAAGGTACTTTGCTTTTCCATTGCTTTCCTGCCTGCCTGCCTGGGCACAACTAATTGCTTCCTTACGTATGTGCAAATAAAGCTTCAAATATATAGTATTTTATTATGGATTCACCAAACTGAAATATAGATATTTATCTGTGTGTCTCTCTCTCCTAGTGCAGGGCACACATCAAATATTCAGGTAATGCTGTATGAATTTAATTGAATTAAATGATGCAAATTTCAAACATGCTTGAAATTAGTCAGTGTCCTTCAAGTCACACTTTGTGGGTGATTGATTATCCCATTTATTCAAAGCTCTGACAATGAAATTATTAATACAAAATAAGGTACTGTCTCCCAAGCTGAGTTCCATAGACACTAATCCTAGATTGCACAATGCATGTTTTAATCTAATAAAATAGGTTCCCCCAAACAAAAAGAGATGACACAATCTGAGTGAAAGAGAAAATAGATATCAGACAACCGAACACATCTATAAAATGTTTAAAAATGGCATTCACTTAAGTGATATTAACATAGAAGTTGCACCCGCAATGAGTCACTTTCCATCCTTTATTCTCTCAATAAAAGGAAGCCCAGCCTGGGCATGGTGGCTCATGCCTGCAATCCCAGCACTTTGGGAGGCCGAGCCAGGCGGATCACCTAAGGTCAGGAGTTCGAGACCAGCCTGACCAACATGGTGAAACCCCATCTCTACTAAAAATACAAAAATTAACCAGGCATGGTGGCGCACACCTGTAATCCCAGCTACTCAGGAGGCTGAGGCAGGAGAATCGCTTGAACCCGGGAGGCAGAGGTTGCAGTGAGCCAAGATCGAGCCATTGCACTCCAGCCTAGGCAACAGAGTGAGAGCGAGACTCCGTTTAAAAAAAGTAACAATAATAAATTAGCCAGGCGTGGGGTGTGTGCCCGTAATCCCAGCTACTCAGGAGGCTGAGGTGGGAGGATTGCTTGAACCTGGGAGGCAGAGGCTGCAGTGAGCCAAGATGGCGCCACTGCACTCCAGCATGGGTGACAGAGCGAGATTCCCTCTCAAATAAATAAATAAATAAATAAATAAATAAATAAATAAATGCCCATTTCCCAGAAAGTCTAAATCATTCTATCAAGGGCTAATAGCCCCAAATTTTTTAATGATACTGCTTAATTATTGCTATGGTTTGCATGTGTCCCCCCAGATTTATATGTTGATGGGAGGTGGGGTCTCTGGGAGGTAATTAGAGTTAGAAAAGGTCTTCAGGGTAGGACCTCCATGATGGGACTGGTGGCTTTATAAGAAGCAGCAGCTAACACACATGCTCTTGCCCTCTGACCATGTGATGGTCTCCACCAGGTTAGGACACAGCAAGAAAGCCCTCACCAGTTGCCAGCACTATGCTCTTGGACTTCCTGGCCTCCAGAACTGTAAGAAATAAATTTCTTCTTCATAAATTATTCAGCCTATGGTATTCTGTTATAGCAACAGAAAAGAAAACAGACTAAGACAATTACTTTATCAAATACTAGTGCTCCAAAATGTTAAGATTTCTTCCATCCATTCATCAATTAATCCAGCCAGCCAACCAATGTAATGCAATGTTAGGAATAGGCCTGTTTCAGGAATCCTTCATTCTAATCTGTTGGCCCTTTCTTTCTTTGCATTGCTCTTCAAAGTAAAGCAAAGTTTATTTTATTCTATTTTATTTTTTGAGATGGAGTTTTGCTGTGTTGCCCAGGCTGGAGTGCAGTGGTACCATCTCTGCTCACTGCAACTTCTGCCTTCTGGGTTCAAGCCATTCTTCTGCTTCAGCCTTCTGAGTAGCTGGAATTATAGGCACCTGCCATCATGCTCGGCTAATTTTTGTACTTTTAGTCGAGATGGGGTTCACTATGTTGGCCAGGTTGGTCTTGAACTCCTGACCTCAAGTGATCCACCGTCCTCGGCCTCCCAAAGTGCTGGGATTACAGGCATAAGCCACTGCACCTGGCCAAAACGTATTTTCTATCATAAACTTTGCATGTCCCTAGAAACCTCTCCCTGAATAGATTAGGATTCAATCAAGTTACACAGATTTCTTTCAGTGACACACAAACATCTGAGATCATGACAGATAAATCTGATTTTTGGTCCATCATGAATGGAGGTACTCAGAATGTTTCCATGATTCCATTTCTCCTCCATCAGCCTATCAGACCAAAATGTTATAGATCTACTTCCTTTCCTACAATAATCATCGTTTCTAGTCAGAGCCAGAGTATAAGGCTAGAGAAAGAAATGAGGAGCTGGAGAACACTAAGACATTTCCTTTCCTTTAGTTCCCCAGAGCCCCCAGACTGGCCCAACATATGGGCTTTGGGGTGGGGATGGCACCTGGGGGATATAGCTTGGGAGTTCCTATCCAGGGATTTCCTTAGCCCTTAGTAGAAATCTCTTAGAACAAAAATAGACATTTTCCTAATTCATTGTGCCCAGGCACCAAGGAAAAAATAAATTGCTAAATGCTATAAATTGGTTTAGATATGAGATCCAGAAAGATATCATAGGAATCTGCAGTCCCTCTGTGGCTGTATTTAAGGTTTTCTTCATCATAACTTTTGAACAGTGTAAGTTAATAGAGACCAGAAGAATTCTAACTTTTCTATCTTCTCTCCTCCTCTCTCCTCATTCATCCCCCAAACTTCTGATTCCCCTAATCTTTACACATTCTTCCCTTTCTATTTCCTAAATTGCTTATCTCAGAAGAACCAATATGAAAAGCACTCTTAACTTGAACAAAGGCAAACAAACAAACACACTGCCAGACTCTGCAAGATTTGGAGATGATGAAATGTAGATAAACCTGGGACTAGCTCACTGCTCCAAGGAAGGCTACAGTAGCCTGGCAAAGTCATTGAAATAACCAATTTTGCAGTCAGACCATGCAGCATTTGAGCCCCAACTTCCTCACTTACTAGCTGTGTCATTTAATTTTTCTCATTTGTAAAATATTAATAAAATTATACTTTCTTTCATAGAATTATTGCAAAAATTAAATAAGTTAACATATGTTTAAAATGCATTAATAAGTTATCCATAAGCAATAGCTCCTTTTGTTATTATTATTATTATTATTTATTTGTTCATTTATTAGAGACAGAGTCTCACTCTGTCACCCAGGCTGGAGTGCAGTGGCGCGATCTCGGCTTATGGCAACCTCCGCCTCCTGGGTTCAAGTGATTCTCCTGCTTCAGCCTCCTGAGTAGCTGGGATTACAGGTGCGTGCCACCACGCCTGGCTAATTTTTTGTATTTTTAGTAGCGACAGGGTTTCACCATGTTGGTCAGGCTGGTCTCAAATTCCTGACCTCGTGATCCACCTGCCTTGGCCTCCCAAAGTGCGGGGATTACAGCCATAAGCCACTGCGCCCGGCCATTAGTTATTATGTTTATTATTCCTTCACTCTTTCAACTTTCATATCAATTAGAACTGATGAATTTATACCATTTTCAAGAAGTCAGATAGGCATAACAGAAAGATTTACAGGGAGATGTTCTTGGTAAATCTCACTGGGAACATTTTCTTATTTTCACATTTTACTTCAATTACAGGGTAACTGTTCATGGATCAGATCATCCTGTGTCTTCTCATAGTTGCACAGCAACCAGCTGCTACAAATAGTCACAGTAGTGGCAGAAGCGACCCTGTCTAGATGTGGGGCAAACTAGAAACCTCATATAATTTACAACTGAATTTAATGAAGCTGCATTTATGACTCATGAATCTCTTCTGTTTCTGTGGTTTGGATTTAGGGAAAGAGTATATTTGCCAATTTGTGTGTGTGTGTGGTTGTTGATGGTAATTATTTGAGACAGCACAGTGTATAGAGAGTAGGTCAAAGCTTGGTGCAAGAAGGGGTCCAGGATGGAAAACACAGCTTCATAATTTGTAGCTGATGTGACCACTTAGGCACAAACAATAAACACTCTCATTATGTCATTTGAATTCTCTTTTATTTTGATGCCTTCTTTATGTGCCTGTGGTCAGCTTACAGACTTAATTCTAACCAAAACCTAGAAAAACCTTTTGTACAGCTTTCTGCCTTATAACATGAGCAACTAAACCAGTTCACTGTCAAGTATTCTAGTAAAGGCCACTGGTGGAATGGAAGGCAGAATTAAGAGTAGTGTCAAACTTTTTTTCTGAGAATGTCAAGCATACTGATTTGGCCCTTTTAGTGAATGAAGTGGGGATTCTCTAATTATCCAGAAGTCTATAGTAAGGTTATATAACAGACAGATCCAAAAATTAATACTAGGTAACAGAACCAACCAATCTAATATAATCTTTCTCCTCCTTCACCTTGGGCTTCTGGAGGGAACAACTGTTGCTTACTGAATTTCTTCACCCATTTGGACTGTTATAACTAAACTTTAGACTGGTTATTTTATAAACAACCAAAGTTCTGGAAGTCCAAGATCAAGGTTTTGGCAGATTTGATGTCTGGTTATGGCACCTCATAGATGGCACCTTCTGTGCAAAAAGAAGCTAACAAGCCCCCTCAGGCCTCTCTGATAAGGGCACTAATCTCATTCATGAGGGCTGTGACTTCATGACCTAATCACCTCCAAAGGCCCCATCTCCTAATACCTTCACCATGGGGGTTAGGTTTTAACATATAAATGATGGGAGAACACAAACATTCAGATCATACCAAATGGATGAGCATGTACAAAACCGAAAGTTGCAGAAAGGCTAAGGTGATCTACGAATCACAAACTGAATAGCTTCTCACTCAGAGTGTGTTGGGGAAAGTTTGGTAGATGGCTGTGAATGAAAGACCCCAGCTGTAGCAAAATGAAAGTAGAAACGTACAAGGATTTAAGGAGGGGGGTTGTATTTCATAAATTGGATCTTCTTTTTCCTTGAAATTTCTGTAACATTGATTGTGGATTTTGAAAGCTGTCAGAAAGTGAGGACGGACAGGAGTCTAGAATTTGTATTTGGGCTTGTACTTGGGTTCTACTGACCAAAGTAGAAAATCATCACAATTTCAACAGAAGTATGACTTTGTATCTATCCAACAAATTATGTCATTTGACCCGTGGTACATATATTCTCTACTCTTTCCTGAGAGGCATTGAACTATCTTAAAATATTAGTTTTCAAATGTTGCTATATGATCTAGGGGCCAAAACACATCTACAATGTATGGAGCATAGAAATTCTGTTTAAAAAGTAATATATTTAATATACATTGCTTATCTAGATAATCTCTGGATATGTTTAATTTACCATATATTAGACGATGTAGCCTATGCATTAGTTTACTGAATAATGAAGGAAATCTCAAATACAATATAATCTTTTGAGGTACCGATTTTAGGGAATAGAAAACAGCTGATTATGTTATATTATTTTTCAGTAGGTAGTTGAATATTGTAAGTCATTTGATTATACTTGAAGAATGTATGAAACTACATAAATATAAAAACATTAATACATTTTGGTTTACTTGAATAGTCATTGAAAATTATGCATACAGATACTTTAGAGATCTTTAATGACATAAATACATCATGATGTTAATATCAGATACAGAATTGTATTTATGTCTATATCTATTTTGTAACGTATGGAAATGATGACAAAAGAAATATATAAACATATTATTGATAATTTGTAGATAGTAGAAGTCATGTAAATTTTCTTAAACTTTTCAGGACTTCATAAGTAATCTCCTATACTGACTTTTACATTTGGAAAAACATAAACAAGCATTAGTTTTTTAAATGAAGAAATAATAAGCAAAGTGGTTTGGACTAAAAGATATTAGTCAATTTAAGCCTGAAATTCTTTTAGGGTCATGTAGTCAAGACAAATGACTACTTAAATTTTTTTTTTTTTTTTGAGATGGAGTCTTGCTCTGTTGCCCAGGATGAACTGCAGTGGCACAATCTTGGCTCACTGCAACCTCCGCCTCCGAGATTCAAGCAAATCTCCTACCTCAGCCTCCCAAATAGCTGGGACCACAGGCACATGCCACCACGCCAGGCTAATTTTTGTTATTTTTTTGTAGAGATGGGGTTTCACCATGTTTGCCAGGCTGGTCTCAAACTCCTGACCTCCAGTGATCCACCCACCTCAGCCTCCCAAAGTGCTGGGATTACAGGCATGAGCCACCATGCCTGGCCTATTTAAATTTTATTAATTTAATTAAGAGGCTTTCCTGATCTCACAAGGTTAGGTTAGGTGGCCCTCCTCTTTGCTTTACTATCATTGCCTAACTGATCTAGCAGGATGCATTGTCACTATGTTGTATGGCCTCTTCTTGTCTATCTTCTCTATAGGACTGTATTCTCAGCACTTAGAACACTGGCTGGAACACAGTAGGTTTTTAATAAATGTTTGTGAATTAATAAAAAATTTATTCTGCAATTTACCTCACCAGTGAATGTGTATTCTATTTATGATTTCCTATATAAATAAAGCATGCATCTCCCACTCGAGGGGAACACAGATGCTGTACAGCACAATGTCAATAGAAAAAGACATTTTATTAGATATGGGCTTTTCTCTGTTTACCAACTTTTATTCATTCATAGAATGACCATCAGCATCATCCATATGACAGAAATTTAGTATTGTAGATTCATGAAAGCAACATTTTAGAGGTAAGCATTCATAGAAATTCATTTGATGATCCAAAGCCTTTCTTTATCATTTCAGATTATATGTTTTTTACCAAAAAATAGAATTTCAAGACAAAATTTATTTTGTAGTTAGATTTTTTCAAAAGGACATATCATTCTTCCATCTTCACCACTCCAACAATGAAAAGCAAGACTAAAATTAAAATGCAGCAACTATATGCCAATAGTCAGAAGGAAGAGGGGAAAATGACTGATTCACCTGTTTTTTGTTTTTAATTTCATTTTATTATTATTTTTTTTTGAATACAGGGTCTTGCTCTGTCACCCAGGCTGGAATGAAGTGGTGCCATCACAGATCATTGCAGCCTCCACCTCCTGGGCTCAAACAATCCTCCCACCTCATCCTCCCGAGTGCCTGGGACCACAGGCACATACCACCACAGCCAGATAATTTTTTATTTTTGGTAGTAATGGGGTCACCATGTTGCCCAGGCTGGTGTCAAACTCCTGGCCTCAAGCAATCCTCCAACCACAGCCTCCCAGAACGTTGGGATTACAGGTGTGAGCCACTGTGCCTGGCCTATTCATCTATTTTTCTAAAACAAGGCTAACCATATAGTTTCATGTATTACTGACTTGTATTACTCAGAGGGGAAAAAAAAAAGGCTGGTAAAATATATTTATTTGGCCGATTCCTTGTACTGGCATTTTTTTAAAAATAAAAGTAAATTATGAGATGAAGATGAATTATGAATTATCATAGTTAAACTGAAAGTCAAACCATAATTTTCCTTCCTTGTGCCTTACATGATTTATCTGAAGTTTTGGAAAATTATTTATTGCAGAAATCATACAACTGAATGAAGCCTTAGTGGTCTAAGTCCATCATTTTACAAATAAGAATACTCAGATGCGGCAGGGCACAGTGGCTCATGCCCATAGTCCCAGCACTTTGGGAGGCCGAGGTGGGTGGATCATTTGAGGTCGGGAGTTCGAGACCAGCCTGGCCAATATGGTGAAACCCCATCTCTACTAAAAATACAAAAATTAGCTGGGCGTGGTGGCACACACCTGCAATCCCAGCTACTGGGGAGGCTGAGGCAGGAGAATTGTTTGAACCTGGGAGGTGGAGGTGGAGGTTGCAGTGAGCCAAGATTGCATCACTACACTCCAGCCTGGGTGACAGAGTGAGACTCTGTCTCAAAAAAAAAGAAAAATTCAGATGCTAAAAAGTTTGATGACTTGCCCAGGTCAACAAGAAGTAAGTGCAGGAGCGGGAATTCACCCTGGCTCTACATGGAGACATCCTGTGCTCCTAACACTAAGGGCTACATGGTCTCCTGGCCCTCCTCCCAAGGAGCTGCAGCAAGCTAAAGCTACCCGAAAGCCCCACAGAAAAAAATTCTATATAATGTGACTTCATCCATTGTCTCCCAAATTTATTTGGTCATAGAACCTGTTTACCTGTTAGTGAGAGGTGACAGCGTGCTGGCAGTCCTCAGAGCCCTCGCTTGTTCTCGGCACCTCCCCTGCCTGGGCTCCCACTTTGGTGGCATTTCAGGAGCCCTTCAGCCCTGCACTGCACTGTGGGAGCCCCTTTCTGGGCTGGCCAAGGCCGGAGCCCACTCCCTCAGCTTGCCGGGAGGTGTGGAGGGAGAGGCACGAGCGGGAACCGGGGCTGCGTGCGGCGCTTGCGGGCCAGCTGGAGTTCCGGGTGGGCGTGTGCTTGGCGGGCCCTGCACTCGGAGCAGCCAGCCAGCCCTGCTGGCCCCGGACAATGAGGGACTTAGCAACCGGGCCAGCGGCTGCGGAGGGTGTACTGGGTCCCCCAGCAGTGCCGGCCCACCGGTGCTGCGCTCGATTTCTCACAGAGCCTTAGCTGCCTTCCCGCGGGGCAGGGCTCAGGACCTGCAGCCCGCCATGCCTGAGCCTCCCACCCTCTCCATGGGCTCCTGTGCAGCCCGAGTCTCCCCGACAAGCACCATCCCCTGCTCCACAGCGCCCAGTCCCATCGACCACCCAAGGGCTGAGGAATGAGAGCGCATGGCGCGGGACTGGCAGGCAGCTCCACCTGCAGCCCCAGTATGGGATCCACTAGGTGAAGCCAGCTGGGCTCCTGAGTCTGGTGGGGATGTGGAGAGTCTTTATGTCTAGCTCAAGGTTTGTAAATACACCAATCAGCACCCTGTGTTTAGCTCAAGGTTTGTGAGTGCACCAATCCACACTCTGTATCTAGCTGCTCTGGTGAGGACGTGGAGAGTCTTTATATCTAGCTCAGGGATTGTAAATACACCAATCAGCACCCTGTGTTTATCAAGGTTTGTGAATGCACCAGTCGACACTCTGTATCTAGCTGCTCTGGTGGGGCCTTGGAGAACCTGTGTGTCCAAACTCTGTATCTAACTAATCTGATGGGGACGTGGAGAACCTTTGTATCTAGCTCAGGGATTGTAAACGCACCAATCAGCACCCTGACAAAACAGGCCACTCGGCTCTACCAATCAGCAGGATGTGGGTGGGGCCAGATAAGAGAATAAAAGCAGGCTGCCCGAGCCAGCATTGGCAACCCGCTGGGGTCCCCTTCCACACTGTGGAAACTTTGGTCTTTTGCTCTTTGCAATAAATCTTGCTACTGCTCACTCTTTGGGTCCACGCTGCTTTTATGAGCTGTAACACTCACTGCGAAGATCTGCAGTTTCACTGCTGAGCCCAGCGAGACCACGAGCCCACCAGGAGGAACGAAGAACTCCAGACGCGCTGCCTTAAGAGCTGTAACACTCACTGCGAAGGTCTGCTGCTTCACTCCTGAGCCAGCGAGACCACGAACCCACCAGAAGGAAGAAACTGCAAACACATCTGAACATCAGAAGGGACAGACTCCAGACGCGCCACCTTAACAGCTGTGACACTCACCGCGAGGGTCCGCGGCTTCATTCTTGAAGTCAGTGAGACCAAGAACCCAGCAATTCCGGACACATTAGCACTGATAAGTGTTCTCTATGAAAACACTTTGAGAAAGTCCAAGGCAATACAATTATCCTCACTACAGAGCCATGTGAACTAGGTCTCCCAGATGCTGCCAACAATTCACATGGTAATCAATCCAAACGTGCAATGGGTAAACCAATTCTTTCTCGTAACTTTCCATGTACACAAATAAGCTTGGTCTGGTGACAAACCAGCTTAATAAAATGCCCACAAAAGAATGAGAGATTTCTCATGCTATCTAACTCTACCTGCCACGGGAAAAGTTAACCTGCACAGTGAAACAGTGCATGGCTTTCCGTCATCCCTTGTGCTAAACAAAATTAGCATAGCCTCACAGAAAGTGGTGTTTTATTTTTTTTTATTTATTTATTTTGAGAGGGAGTTTCCCTCTTGTTGTCCAGGCTGGAAGGCAATGGTACATCCTCAGCTCAATGCAACCTCCACCTCCTGGGTTCAAGTGATTCTTCTGCTTCCACCTCCCAAGTAGCTGGGATTACAGGCGTGTGCCACCACACCCAGCTATTTTTTTGTCTGTTTGTATTTAGTAGAGATGGGTTTTCACCATGTTCATCAGCCTGGTCTCAAACTCCTGACCTCAGGTGATCCACCCACCTTGGCCTTCCAAAGTGCCGGGATTACAAGCATGAGCCACCGCGCCCGGCCAGAGAGTGGTGTTTGGTCTCACTCTGTCGCCCAGACTGGAGTGCAGTGGCGCCATCTTGGCTCACCGAAACCTCCGGCTCCCAGGCTCAAGCGATTCTCCTGCCTCAGCCTCCTGAGTAGCTGGGATTACAGGCTGCACACGCCCGGCTATTTGTTGTATTTTTAGTAGAGACAGGGTTTCAGCATGTTGGCCAGGCTGGTCTCAAACTTCCTAACCTCAGGTGATCCATCCACCTCAGCCTCCCAAAGTGCTGGGATTACAGAGACGCTGCTCTTAATAACTCTTTTTTTAATTTTGTTTTATTTTATTTTATTTTATTTTATTTATTTTTTTATTTTTTTGAGACAGAATCTTGCTCTGTCGCCCAGGCTGGAGTGCAGTGGCGCAATCTCGGCTCACTGCAACCTCTGCTGCCTGGATTCAAGCAATTCTCCTGCCTCAGCTTCCCAAGTAGCTGGGATTACAGGCACATGCCACCACGCCCGGCTAATTTTTCTGCTTTTAGTAGAAATGGGGTTTCATCGTCTTGGCCTGTCTGGTCTTGAACTCCTGACCTCGTGATCCACCCATCTTGGGCTCCCAAAGTGCTGGAATTACAGGCGTGAGCCACCGCACCCGGCCTCTTAATAACTCTTTTGTCCACTTCCTCCAGGCTCAGGAAGAACAAAGAGATGAAGAAATACAATTGTAAGAAAGTATATTTTCCAAATTTCTGTGATAATTTCTTGTATCTGCACTCATATTAATATTTTATCTGGTAATCCTTTCATAGAAACAGTATGTGAAGTGCATTTTGATTCTTTGAGTGAATGGGACAGTTTATCCCAGGGCATACTTAACCGATAAATTTAGTTTCAAGGGAAATGGGAAGAAAACCAAGCATATTAACTCACTCAAGTCACTGGTACCTCCCTTCCTGCCTTGCCCTGTGATTTTAAACATAAGTACTATTAAAGGACTAATGAATGCTCTAATTACATAAGCTTTAATAGATGAATTAAAGAATGAATGGTGATTTCTCCCTATAAGTACCCAATTTACTATACAAAAGCTAAATTAGGGAGCGGAGGAGAGGGGACTGGAATAATAACTGTTCACTAGACAAAATAGAATATAAATGTATAAAGAAAAATAAATAGGCCCAAGTTGGTGAAAGTCAACATAGGAAATGCCCTCATTTCATTTTGAGATGTCACACTCCTGAGACATCCCTGAATATAGAGCATAAGATGTATTTTAACTGAAATAATCCTTTCTATATAATATCATAGTCTATTGAGAACAACATCTGTGAATTTGCAAATTAACTCAATTTGAGAAGGCAAAGAACATCAGACCACATAAGCTTTTACTTTGCAAAAGAGAACTTGAATATTAGTGATATTTGACTAGCTCTTAGAAAAACAATCTCCCATGTATGCAAAAGAAGCACTATTATTAAGAAAATCAGTTTGCCCAACATCCAACCTGTACATTCTAGGATTTTTTTCTACATAATAACAGTAGCAAGAAATCACCCAAAAATGTCATTTACCCTGGTAAGTTTTTTTCCAGTTGGGCCCTTGAAGGCTCAGCAGTTTGATTTCATCAGCACACAAACCACAGATTCATTCTTCATGGGTGGACTCACAAAAACCAAGCTCCTGAGACTAATGTATTTGTACACCCATGTCCATAGCAGCATTTTTCATAATAGCCAAAAGGTGGAAGCAACTCAGGTGTCGCTTTAAGAGAAATGAAAAAATAAAAAGTGGTATATATGCACACAATGGAATTTTATTCAGCCTTAAAAAGGAAAGACGTGCTCACACATGCTACAACCTAGATGACCCTTGAAGACATTATGCTAGGTAAGACAAATCAGTCACAAAAGGACAAATGCTGTATGATTCCACTTCAGTGAGGTGCCCACAGTAGTCACATTCATAGACAAAGGAGAATGGTGGTTACCAGGGGCTGGGGAAGGGGTGACTGGAGACTCAATGTTCAGTGGGTACAGAGTTTCAATTTTGCAAGCTGAAAAGAGTTCTGGGGATGGATGATAGTGATGGTTTCACAAGAAAGTAAATGTAGTTAATGCCATTGAACTCTACACTTAAAAATGATTAAGATGGTAAATTTTATGTTGCATATATTTTACCATAATTCTAAAAATTGGAAATCCCTGTTTTAAGTTGATATTGAAAAACAGAACTGTTTCAGGGACTTGAATATAGGGAGTTTTAAAACTAGACTAACCTTTCTCTATGACATCCAGAAAAGCTAAATCCTAAATGGAAAGTTGCTCTGAGGGCGTAGATTTCGAACAAGGGGAGTACAATGAGTTGGATGTTTAGGACATGTGTCTATCACAGATGACATCAATCTTACAATGGGGACAGACTTGTCAGAGGAGCCAGAACGCTTGTATTCTGGAGGCCAGGTCTCCCTGTATTCAATTTCACAATAAAGGGCAGCTTTGCCAGGGATCTTGGCTAAGGTTCCCTCCACCTGGATCTGCCCAAACTGCCTGGTTTTCTTTCTTCTATATTTCTAAGGCTAAACAATTCTTTTCTAATTAACCTAATCCTTCTTTAGCTGTGCAAACATATTCAATTAGATCACAGTCAAAGCTTTCAGATCCAGGAAGTATTCTGTCTAAAGCGACCTTGTAGATGAGAGCAAAATTATTGATTTCACTTCAAAGAATATCACATTTCCCTTATTTATGAGGTTTTAGAGAATACCTCATTGTAGTGCCCAGGTATTAATATTTATAGACCTCATGCACCTGATAGTAAATAAAATATTTAGTTCAATCCCAATGTTTTCTACATTGTATTATTGTAGGAATAGTAACTAGGAGAGTCAACACTGCCTGTATCCCTAGGCACCAATTACAGTAGGAAATGATGGGAATTACTGGGAGATCTGAGATAGATATAACTTTGGGAAAAGAGGACTGGAGAAAGAAAATAGAAATTAAGTATAAGATAAGCAAAGTAAGAAGGTAAGAAAACAAAAGAGAAAATAATAGCATGTACCCCTTATAATAGTTTCCCTCATAAGCAGTTTTTCTTTCCAGGACTTCAGTTATCTGAGGTCAACTGAGGTCTGAAAATATTAAATGAAAAATTCCACAAGTTATCTGGGGCCAACTGAGGTCTGAAAATATTAACGAACAATCCCACATATAAATAATTCATACATTTTATATCACACACTGTTCTGAGTCATGTGATGAAATCTCACACTGTCCCACTCTGTCCCATCTAGGACATGAACTGACCCTTTGTCTGGCATATCCACGCTGTCTACACTCCTTGCGTTACTGGATGAAGGTGTCCCAGTTCTTGGTGTCTTGAACAAAGAATTGGACAAAATGCACAAACAAAGCAAGGAAAGAATGAAGCAACAAAAGCAGAGATTTACTGAAAATGAAAGTACACTCCACAGGGTGGGAGCGGGCTGCAGCATAGGGGCTCGAGGGCTCCTTTACAGAAATTTCTGGGGTTTAAATATCCTCTGGAGGTTTCCATTGGTTACTTGGTGTACACCCTATGTCAACAAAGAGGATGAAGTAAAGTTACAAAGTCATTTACACAGTGTGAGCCCTATGTAAATGGAGAGGATATTTCCTGTCATAGCTGAAGTGTTTCCATTTGATTTAGTTCTAGGAAGTCAGCATGAATCAGGCTTATGTTCCCTGCCTCCAGACCCTATTCTCCTGCCTCACTTGCCTGTGAGTCCCGCAGTAGCTCTCTTGGTTACCAGATCACCTGTTGAGCCATCGCTGTGCTTCTGCTCAAGCAACCCTTATTTTACTTAATAATGGCCCCTAAGCTGAAGAATAGTGATACTGGCAATTCAGATATTCCAAAGAGAAGCTGTCAAGTGCTACCTGCAAGTCAAAAGGTGAAACTTTTCAACTGAAGGAAGAAAAAAATTCATATGCTGAGGTTATGAAGACAACTGAGTTTATTGCCTATCACAGTAAGGGAGAACACCAACTCAACAGAGCTTTGGTTGTGTCTCAGAGGGGAAGTTTTGTTTGGGGGGGTGTATTTCAATGTAGTTCTTGATTAAGACAGGGTGAAAATCATGATATAATAATAATATGATTGGTGGAAAGAGCAAGTGTGAAATTTGAGATGAGGGGGTTCAGAGAAGCTTGGGATATAAACTGTCTATTGAAAAGTTCATGGGTCTTTTGGGATGTTCCTGTAATGAACAATGAAATAATTTGCCTGGATAAGAATGCTTTAGAATTATAAAATTATATCAATGTAGACAATGGAATAGTAAAAGCATGTTAATATAGACCATAAATAGTGTGGGATACATGGTGTCAGTTCTCAGTATAATATGTATACCGTATCATATGTAATATATTTTATCAGCTGCTACATTACACAACTCCAGGGAGCACCATCCACATTATAGTCTATGTAAGTGATGTTCTGGGATTATTCAGTGCAAATACCCTATTATATTAATAGCTTGTATCACAATATATTTAATGTGAAGTAGGAGATATGCCATAATATACTGCATTGGATATAACTTGTACATAGCACAAGCATGTAACATATTTACAATGAAGGGCAAAGCACTAGAACACTTTTACAATTTACAAAGTGTGACTTTGCCTGCTCCTTTTTGCTTTTTCATAAAAATTGTGCTTTTATCAGATGAGAACTGACACAGAGAATTCCAGAGAGAGAGATTTTTGAGGTCCTACAATCTAGCAGTGTCTGACCCATCCATACTAGGCCATCAAGAAACATAAAGTGCTAGACATAACTACATCTATCTCTCCAAAGTCCATTAACATGTTTTTCTGGCAGGTTAAAGATGAAGTTAGCTTTTTGTTTTTTATTTATTTTTTATTTTTTTTATTATACTTTAAGTTTTAGGGTACATGTGCACAATGTGCAGGTTTGTTACATATATATACATGTGCCATGTTGGTGTGCTGCACCCATTAACTCATCATTTACATTAGGTATATCTCCTAATGCTATCCCTCCCCCCTCCCCCCACCCCACGACAGGCCACGGTGTGTGATGTTCCCCTTCCTGTGTCCAAGTGTTCTCATTGTTCCATTCCCACCTGCAAGTGAGAACATGCAGTGTTGGTTTTTTGTCCATGCGATAGTTTGCTGAGAATGATGGTTTCCAGCTTCATCCATGTCCCTACAAAGGACATGAACTCATCCTTTTTTATGGCTGCATAGTATTCCATGGTGTATATGTGCCACATTTTCTTAATCCGGTCTATCATTGATGGACACTTGGGTTGGTTCCAAGTCTTTGCTCTTGTGAATAGTGCCACAATAAACATATGTGTGCAAGTGTCTTTTTAGCAGCATGATTTATAATCCTTTGGGTATATACCCAGTAATGGGATGCCTGGGTCAAATGGTATTTCTAGTTCTAGATCTTTGAGGAATCACCACACTGTCTTCCACAATGGTTGAACTAGTTTACAGTCCCACCAACAGTGTAAAACTGTTCCTATTTCTCCACATCCTCTCCAGCACCTGTTGTTTCCTGACTTTTTAATGATCGCCATTCAAACTGGTGTGAGATGGTATCTCATTGTGGTTTTGATGTGCATTTCTCTGATAGCCAGTGATGATGAACATTTTTTCATGTGTCTGTTGGCTGTATAAATGTCTTCTTTTGAGAAGTGTCTGTTCATATCCTTTGCCCACTTTTTGATGGGGTTGTTTTATTCTTGTAAATATGTTTGAGTTCTTTGTACATTCTGGATATTAGCCCTTTGTCAGATGAGTAGGTTGCAAAAATTTTCTCCCATTCTGTAGGTTGCCTGTTCACTCTGATGATAGTTTCTTTTGCTGTGCAGAAGCTCTTTAGTTTAATCAGATCCCATTTGTTAATTTTGGCTTTTGTTGCCATTGCTTTTGGTGTTTTAGACATGAAGTCCTTGCCTATGCCTATGTCCTGAATGGTACTGCCTAAGTTTTCTTCTAGGGTTTTTATGGTTTTAGGTCTAACATTTAAGTCTTTGATCCATCTTGAATTAATTTTCGTATAAGGCGTAAGGAAGGGAACCAGTTCAACTTTCTACATATGGCTAGCCAGTTTTCCCAGCACCATTTATTAAATAGGGAATCCTTTCCCCATTTCTTGTTTTTGTCAGATTTGTCAAAGATCAGATAGTTGTAGATGTGTGTATTATTTCTGAGGGCTCTGTTCTGTTCCATTGGTCTATATTTCTGTTTGGTACTAGTACCATGCTGTTTTGGTTACCGTAGCCTTGTAGTATAGTTTGAAGTCAGGTAGCATGATGCCTCCAGCTTTGTTCTTTTGGCTTAGGATTGACTTGGCAATGCAGGCTCTTTTTTGGTTCCATATGAACTTTAAAGTAGTTATTTCCAATTCTGTGAAGAAAGTCATTGGTAGCTTGATGGGGATGGCATTGAATCTATAAATTACCTTGGGCAGTATGGCCATTTTCACGATATTGATTCCTCCTATCCATGAGCATGAATGTTCTTCCATTTGTCTGTGTCCTCTTTTATTTTGTTGAGCAGTGAATTGTAGAGAGAAAGCAGGAGACATCTAAAATTGACACCCTAACATCACAAGTAAAAGAACTAGAGACGCAAGAGCAAACACATTCAAAAGCTAGCAGAAGGCAAGCAATAACTAAGATCAGAGCAGAACTGAAGGAGATACAGACACACACAAAAAAACCCTTCAAAAAAATCAATGAATCCAGGAGCTGGTTTTTTGAAAAGATCAAAAAAATTGATAGACCACTAGCAAGAATAATAAAGAATAAAAGAGAGAAGAATCAAATAGATGCAGCAAAAAAATGATAAAGGGGATATCACCACTGATCCCACAGAAATACAAACTACCATCAGAGACTACTATAAACACCTCTACACAAATAAACTAGAAAATCTAGAAGAAATGGATAAATTCCTGGACACATATACCCTCCCAAGACTAAACCAGGAAGAAGCTGAATCCCTGAATAGACCAATAACAGGCTCTGAAATTGAGGCAACAATTAATAGCCTACCAACCAAAAAAAGTCCAGGACCAGACGGATTCACAGCCGAATTCTACCAGAGGTACAAGCAGGAGCTGGTACCATTCCTTCTGAAACTATTCCAATCAATAGAAAAAGAGGGAATCCTCCCTAACTCATTTTATGAGGCCAGCATCCTCCTGATACCAAAGCCTGGCAGAGATACAACAAAAAAAGAGAATTTTAGACCAATATCCCTGATGAAGATGGATGCAAAAATCCTCAATAAAATACTGGCAAACCAAATCCAGCAGCACATCAAAAAGCTTATCCACTATGATCCAGTGGGCTTAATTCCTGGGATGCAAGGCTGGTTCAACATTCACAAATCAATAAACGTAATCCAGCATATAAACAGAACCAAAGACAAAAACCACATGATTATCTCAATAGATGCAGAAAAGGCCTTTGACAAAATTCAACAGCCTTTCATGCTAAAAATTCTCAATAAATTAGGTATTGATGGGACGTATCTCAAAATAATAAGAGCTATTTATGACAAACCCACAGCCAATATCATACTGAATGGGCAAAAATTGGAAGCATTCGCTTTGAAAACCGGCACAAGACAGGGATGCCCTCTCTCACCACTCCTATTCAACATAGTGTTGGAAGTTCTGGCCAGGGCAATCAGTCAGGAGAAAGAAATAAAGGGTATTCAATTAGGAAAAGAGGAAGTCAAATTGTCCCTGTTTGCAGATGACATGATTGTATATTTAGAAAACCCCATCGTCTCAGCCCAAAATCTCCTTAAGCTGATAAGCAACTTCAGGAAAGTCTCAGGATACAAAATCAATGTGCAAAAATCACAAGCATTCTTATACACCAATAACAGACAAACAGAGAGCCAAATCATGAGTGAACTCCCATTCACAGTTGCTTCATAGAGAATAAAATACCTAGGAATCCAACTTACAAGGGATGTGAAGGACCTCTTCAAGGTTTTTGTATGCATAATGTCATCGGGGGTATTGAGAAATCCATGAAGGTCAGCAGCGCCTTGCTCCCCCATTCCCCTGTACTCCCTCCCAGGTTGCCAGTGATGTGACGCTACTCCTTAGGCTATAGTGGGGGTGTGGTTGGTTCCTCCTATTACAGAGACCCAAGTGTATCCTACAGGAGTGAACCCCAAGGAGTGTGGGAAGAAAGGATCGGCTTGTGCAAAGCAAAAGAAAGGCTGGTTCATGAAACTGATGGATTTTAGCATTTTAGCCATTTGATTTGAGCACAGAACAAGATGGGGCCAGAGGCAGGAGATCATGCTGGACAGGTTATTAAGGACTTGCTCATGAAAAACTGAATGTTTCATTTTAGGAGTTGAACTTCATCCTGGGAGGAAGAAAAAGGCTTTGAAGGCTTTTAAGCTGAGGATGAACTTAATAAGATTTATGTTTTAGGAAGTTCTCTTTGCCAAGGGGAGAAGCACTAATGGCAAGGAGCAATCCAGATTAGAAATGATAACCCATGTTTGGGCATGCTCCCTTTGGCATGACCTCCACTGCTACACTACCTTGAAAGAGAACTTGTATCAAAGGAGATCCGGTTCCACAACATGGAGCACCAAGATATTGACATTGTACTGAATGTCATGAGTAGACTGAAGGGATAATAGCATTTTGCTCCAAAAATCTTCACTTATCTTTGCTATTGGTCTCTTCCTATGCTTCCAGTGAATTCCCTTTCAATTCTGGATCCTTCCTGGCTCTTCTAATGAGCCATTCAGCCCCACCTTCTACTTGCGTTTCTCACTCCACAAAACAAAAAACAACTAGTTCAATATCTGTGGCTTAGGAATTTGCCCTTAGAAGTGGGTGATGGTCTCAGTTTAATCCACTGGAGCAAGAGCATGAATAAACTAAGGTAGCTGCTGCAGGGATTGGGGAAAAGGGGGGACAAATATTTTGCAGACAAAACTATTAAGTTTCAGTGACTGGTATATCAGAAAGAGAAGTAAAGGGCCATTTTCTTTCCCAAAGTCCGCTGCCCTAGATCAGGCTTATACTGTTCTGTTTTGTTCGGCCCTTATTTTTATTGCATTCACCTAATTATACACTCCTACTCTCTAGTTTCTCTTCAAATGTATAAAATGAATTGGAGCAAACCAGATGTCTCTCTCCAGGTTATCAGTCATTAATGGTGCCATTGCCTGCTAGGCAGAACTCAAAACGACCTCACATGGCCTCCAATGGTCTACAAAGACTTTCTTGATAGAGTCCTTGTGTGTCAGGGACTCATCTCCCACTACACCCCCATGTAACTACACTTACTAAGTATACTTACTACACTTCAAAATTAAGGAATGACTTATGATTTATAAACAGTAAGTCGTCACTTACCACCATAGTATGTGGGGGATCGGTCAGAGTGGTGGGAAAAACTATAGGGAAAGGATGCAAACCTTCTGAAAGATCAGAAGGTTCTGCAGAGCCCTGCGGTAGAATAGCTGAAGGCAGCTGTTCTATAACCCTGAGGCAGAGGGTAAGGAGTAGGTTCAAGGGAGTGTGAGGCAATTTATCTTAAACAGGCTTGTTTACTTATGTTGACGAGGAACTGACCTTTGATCATCTGCTTGTGATGTTCCCTGAAAGGAGAACAATAAATGTTAATTACCTGCAGGTTTTGTTGGCTCCAGGTTTTCAGCATTATTCCTGCACTAAAAAAAGCAAGCAGCTCCAGCTGCTTGGAGCTGCACTCTGGCCACTTGAACCAGGCAGTCCCCTAGCTGCTCTTACACTACATACCTGTGTCTGAGTACTCATTTCATCCGTCGGTCAGGGTCTACGGGACAGACCCGGCAATAGTAAGATTCTTGGAAACTGACTTTAAGTGACACAATGTACAAGGAAACCGATTTTATCATAAGCTAATTGATATACACAAAAGTTAAGTTCCTACAGTATGTTTCTGGTCACAAAAACATCACCAAACTTCTAAATGAAGTCCCCAAACACTTCTAATATCAAACACTGAAGTAAATGTGAATTATACATACATTTAAAAAAGATTAATGAAAACAAGTAAGATAATCATTTGCCACCTTTTTGGTGAACTTGCGAGTAACAGCATTTGTCATTGTGGTGGGGAAAATCAAGGAATAAATATTTGCAAATGCAAAAATTGTCAGGAACACCTCCTCCAACCATGAAGTTCAAAAACCATCACAAACATGGAGGGCTTGCTGAGCACTTTCATACTGCATCCGTTAGTGTCATACATGTATTGTAAAGTTTATCAATTTTTATTTTACAATCAGTTGTATTCATTCATTCATTTTCCAACTGGTTTATTCCAGCTCTGGGTCTTGGTTCGCTGGAGCCCATCCCAGCATCTCAGGATCCCAAGCAGGAACCAACCCTGGCCAGCTTGCCATCCCATTGCAGGGCCACTCTTACCTACAATCACTCACAATGCGACCATTTAGACATGTCAGCTCACCTAATTCACATCCTTGAGATCTGGGAGGAAACTCAAACACAGACTAAGGGAGAATGGGCAGACTCCACACAGGCAGTGGCCCTGGCAGGGAATCTACTTTTTTTCTCATGAACGTTGTAATAAAACAACACTTTGAGGATCTGCTGTGCCACCCCCTATCTTTCATATATTGCTTTACACAACCTAGTCAACTTCTACTGCAGCTTTCAGACTCAGATCAAGCATCCCATCCTCAGACCACATTTGATACCCACTCCAATGCCACCCAGTCCCCCATCCAGGCTGAGTGAAATGAGTCTTGTTTTTACTACTTTGCATATCTGTTTTTCCACTATAATGTATAAACTCTCTTGTTTTCTTTTTTATTATTTTTTATTTCAATAGGTTTTTGGAGAACAGGTGGTCTTTGGCTACATGGATAAGTTCTTTACTGGTGATTTCTGAGTTTTGGTGCACCTGTCACCCAAGCAGGGTACATTGCACCCAGTGTGTAGTCTTTTATCCCTTACCCTCCTCCTACCCTTTCCCAAGTCTCCAAAGTCCACTGTATCATTCTTATGCCTTTGCATCCTCATAGCTTAGCTGCTGCTTATGAATGAGAACATATGTTTGGTTTTCCATTCCTCAGTTACTTCACTTAGAATAATGATCTCCAACTCCTTCCAGGTTGCTGCAGATGCCATTATTTCGTTCCTTTTTCATGGCTCAGTAGTATTTCATATACATGTATATATGTGTGTGTGTGTGTAGTGTTCCAGGTATATCTATATATATACATATATAGAATACTATATTCCATGTATATATATACACACACACACATAGAATACTATATTCCATGTGTGTATACACACACACACGCACATATATAGAACACCACGTGTGCACACACACACACACACACACACACACACAGATCTACCATTTGATCTAGCAATCCCACTACAGGGTATCTACCCAGAGGAAAGGAAGTCATAATACAAAAAAGATACTTGCACATGCATGTTTATAGCAGCACAATTTGCAATTGCAAAAATATGGAACCAGCCCAAATGCCCACTGAGTGGATAAAGAAAATGTAATATACACACGCACACACACACAAACTTATATATATGTATATATGTATGTATGTGTATATGTGTGTGCATGTGTATATATGTATGTATATATATCTGTAAGTCAACATATAACTTATTTTCATCTGGGTAGAAACCCAGTAGTGGGTTTGCTGGATCAAATGGCAGATCTACTTTTAGTTCTTTAAGAAATCTTCACACTATTTTCCATAGAGGTTGTCCTAGTTTACATTCCCACCAGCAGTGTAGAAGTATTCCCTTTTCACTACATCCATGCCAACGTCTATTATTTTTTGAGTTTTTGATTATGGCCATTCTTGCAGGAATAAGATGGTATTGTACTGTGGCTTTGATGTGCATTTCCCTGATAATTAGTGATATTGAGCATTTTTTTCCATGTTTGTTGACCATTTGTGTATCCTCTTCTGAGAATTGTCTATTCATGTCCTTAGCCTAATTTTTGATGTGATTGATTTTTTCTTGCTGATTTGAGTTCCTTGTAGATTCTGGATATTAGTCCTTTGTCAGATGTATAGATTGTGAACATTTTCTCCCATTCTGTGGGTTGTCTGTTTACTCTGCTGATTATTTCTTTTGCTGTGCAGAAGCTTTTTAGTTTAATTAATTTCCATCTATTTATCTTTGTTTTTGTTGCATTTGCTTTTGGGTTTCTGGTCATGAAGTCTTTGCCTAAGCCAATGTCTAGAAGAGTTTTTCTAATGTTATCTTCTAGAATTTTTATGATTTCAGGTCTTAGATATAAATCTTGATTTTTGTAAAAGTTGAGAGATGAGGGTCATCCTTTTCTATGTGGCTTGCCAGTTATCCAAGCACCATTTGTTGAATGGGTGTCCTTTTCCCACTTTATGTTTTTGTTTGCTTTATGGAAGATCTGTTGTTGTTTTTGGCTTTATTTCTGGGTTCTCTATTCTGTTCCACTGTCTATGTGCCTATTTTTATACCAGTACCATGCTGTTTTGGTGACTGTAGCCTTGCGGTATGTTTGAAGTCAGGTAATGTGGTGCCTCCAGATTTGTTATTTTTGCTTTGTCTTGTTTGGCTATACAAACTCTTTGAGGACAAGGACTGTATCTTCTCCACCCCTGAATTTCAGGCAGCTAGCCTAGAATAGTCTCAGAAAAACTATTTGTTGAATGAGTAAATAAAAGTGGTGGAACCAAGACACAGATATAAAACTTCTCACCCTAAATCCCGTGCTTTTCTCATTATATCACAGCTAATGAGTAATATAATGAGAGTGTCACATCATGGTAGAAGGACTAAATACTTCATGCCATCAGATGGTAGATTTCTTACTCCTAATCTGGTACTGTGAAAAAATAATTGGTGAAATAGTGACAAAATGGGTAAAAGTCAACATGGATATTAAGAGACTGTACTATTAAGCCTACAGTGCCTCCTTCTCAAAATGCTTAACTACTACATTAAGCAAAAAATAGTTAAAAGTGTTAGTCCTAAAGTTAGCAAGAAGATACAGTGTATTTTTATTGGATTACAAATATACATGAGAATACTCCAAGAGATGCATATTTTATATAAAAACATTCATATCACATCCATCAGTAAATGTCCTTAATTCTTAATTATCTGCGTCCAGTTGGAAAATTTTGTATTTTCTTGTGGCTCTCTCTCCCTTGCTATCTATGAGGGGGCCTGGAAAATAAAAGGGTAGAATGCAAATCTGTCAATGTGGTTGCTTATATTTTTCTTTCAAAAGTCTCCATTGAGAAAGTAAGTTGAAAAATGGTAACAATGTACTTACATAAATGTCTCCTAAATTATCTTTGTTGTCTGACTCTATTAGGAAGAATTATTTGTGTAGCAATTTTAAGTAGGTACAATCCAAACCATGCAGATCTTTTTTGTTTGGTTGTTTGTTTTTCTTTTTTTTTGTCAAAGTCTCACTCTGTGGCCCAGGCTAGAGTGCAGTGGCATGATGGCTCACTGCAAGCTCACTGCAAGCTCCGCCTCCCAGGTTCAAACTATTCTCCAGCCTCCTATAAGTAGCAATATATGCCTCTCCTACTCTCCTGAGTAGCTGAGATTACAGATGCACACCACCACGCCTGGCTAATTTTTGTATTTTCCCTAGAGATGGGGTTTCACCATGCAGATCTTGTAAAGCAGCGGTCTTCAACCTTCTTGACACCAGGGACTGGTTTCATGGAAGACAATCTTTCCACAGACTGGTGGCAGGGGATGGTTTCAGGATGATTCAATGATTCAAGCACATTTATTGTGCACTTTATTTCTATTATTATTATTATATCCTCACCATATTATTATTATATACTCACCATAATGTAGAATTAGTGGGAACCCTGACTGTTTTCCTGCAACTAGACGATCCCATCTGGGGATGATGGGAGACAGTGACAGATCATCAGGCATTCGATTCTCTTAAGGAACACAAAACATAGATCTCCTGCATGCACAGTTCACAATAGGGTTTGCGCTCCTATGAGAATCTAATGCCGTGGCTGATCTGACAGGAGTCAGAGCTCAGGCAGTCATGCTTGCTCGCATGCCCACCACTGCTGTGCAGCCTGGTTCATAACAGGCCACAGACAGGTACCCAGGGACCCCTGCAGTAAAAGACTCTAACCAAGAGCTGCTTCTCTCCCGAAAAGTAACAGTATACGTCAAGAAAGCTGCAGCAATATATTTATTGCAAAGGAACTAGACATTACATTAACCTGATGAAGATGTAACGATGCATGAAGCATAACTGGTGCAACATTTTTTAAAAATCACAAATGAAAAAGAAAATTCATTTTCAAAAGAAAATATTGTATCCAAGTCAGCTTAATCTCTGAACACCATAATATAACTCTTAATGTTGATTCTAAACATCCAGGATAAAGTTTACTTTAAACTGAATAAAAGAAAGAAAAGGTTTCTTTCCGAACTTCCCCAACAGATTCCTTGGCTACCATCGGTGCATCACACCCATAAAGTAATTGTCATCAACAGACCGTAAAAAGAAAAAACCCCTCCTACAAATAGAGAAATTCTCAGGAAATCCAAGCAACAAATCAATTAGTAGCCCCCAATTGAATGGGGCAGACAGAATCAGCATTTTCTAGAACTTAGAAGTTACATTAACTTTATTAATAAGATTTTATTGTCTTTTAAGAAACTGTATGGATTCAAGGGCACACTGAGCTATAACAAGTCATTATATACACACTGGGTAACAGTGCGGAGGGGGTTTCAGATGTTTGTCATCTGTTCATCAAAGCTTTCTGAAACCCCTAGAGCTTTACTATTCTACTCTATAATACATTTTCACTGTGTATAACAAACTCCCTTTGAAGAAAATTACCCCAGATAATCCATCTGTGAAAATACAAGTACTGCAAAAAGCAGTGAGGATAAATACTTTTTGGAAAGGCAAAAATGCTGCATCAACTTTCAGAGGCACTATCATAGAATCATCTCTGAAAAAGAGAACTGCAAATGTACTTTGAAAATTACTTTCCTTGCCTATACCCAGCATGCGTGAATGTCATCTAATGAGCTATTTGTAGGCTGAGGAAGTGAAGAGTTGAAATGCAGAATTGCAGGTTTTAGTTGAGCTGGTAACACTGGTACCACTTTCTTTTTTCCCTTCCAATGGATTTCAACAGTTTGTTCCTAAACATTTCACAGTTCTCAAAACTTTTCACATAAAAGGGGAAGATTATTAAAGCTTATTAGATTCTGTCAATTGGTCAAAAGAAAAAATGTATTTCAACACAGCTTGTCATCTTTGGAAAAAATCAATCATAATTACGTTTCCTTATACTGAATTTAAGGTAGAGAGACCTAAATTACAAGCACTCACAATTTGGTGGGAAAGTGGCAAATCCTTGTCATTTGGTGACTGTGGCACCAAATAAAGAGGAATTCATTCACAACTGAATGAGTTATTCAAATAAAAAAAGCAGAAAGCTAATCTAGACATTTTAGGTCCTAAATTAAATTTTTCAGGTGTGATATTTTTAGTTTGAGTAATAATGCTGGTCTAGTTTGCTAAAAAATTAGCAACATTCTCCTTTACCTTGAGCTGGGTAGACTCAGCCACAATGTCCTACTGTCTCTTTATGTATGTTTAAAGTAATGCCTAACCAGACTCATAATGCATGTAGATGCAACATGCTAGTTGGCACAAAGCAGGCAGGGAGAAATGACCCTACCTTCCCAAAAAACTCACAGGAGCATGACCAGTAATCATTTTCCTCATATAGACAATGTCAGTAGATATCAAGACAGATACACATAAAGTTACATAAATGTTTCCACCTTTTCACCATTGAGTGAAACATGCTGTTCTTTGGAGAAAAAAATACATTCATTTTTTTCAAGTATATTGCAATATACAAAGATGCTCTGGCTTTGTTTCACTATAAAGACAAAAAGATTTCACATATGTCCAAGGGAAATTTCAGTTTACCTTTCCTTTGGTGTGGATTTCATGAAGTTCTGACTAAAAAAATTAATCTAAATATACATCTACTCATTTTATCTGAAAGCATGAACTATGTTCATTTTATATATATATTTATATGTACATAGCAACAACAAAAACCAGTCTACATATGTCCAATGGCTTAGGATTGGCATGCTCTGATGAGCACGAGGTCCACCTGCTGTGACTAGGCGCTCAGCACCAGTATTAGGTGGTTCCATCAGCTTCAGGGTCCAGCCTTGGGCCAGCGACATGCAGGCTCTTCCTCTCTGTAGTATTCTAAGGAGCACTTTCTGCTGAGGCCGTGCCTCTTCAATTATGGCTTATTTCCTATCTTGGCTTTGTTGTTAGGGTTGCAGTTTAGGTCTCTCAGCAACAGGTCACAATTGACTAGAGCATCCGCGGGCAGCAGCTTCCGGAGTTGCTCCACTGTCTTTTGATAAGCCATTTTTTCTTGTTCCAGGGTCCGGATTAAAGACTTCATTTTGGTCTCTCTCGTCAAAAGATTTTCCAGGTTTGATTCCAAGGCCTGGATTTTAGTATGAGCTACCTGTTTGGGGGGGAAAAAATCCTCCAAATCAAATGATTCATTATAGTAGGAGACAGTCCTTACACATATTAACCAATTACTTCAAATTACTTAATAAAATATTATGTGAAGCAAATACTCTGAAAACCTACAGGAAACGATGATTTATTAGGTTTCACAAAGATGTAACTATGGAACTACCATGCTTCATCTCTTCTCACTGAACACACGAATAATTCAATACTAAATCACCCCCCTCACCAACAGTAGGAATCCTTATTCTACACCCACTGGTGTTCCCCTGAGTGAGTGGGATCTGGCCTGGCTGAAGGAGAAACAGGAGATTCCTGACACTATTGCAGTGCTAAAAGAGATTTTCCTTCTCTGACTGAAATACGGCGTTCTCTAAACATACACTTGGGCTTTCATCAGTATTTATAGATGTGAGGGGTGGCCAAGTAACTGATGATGACTACACTGAACTGTCAGTGAAAAAGTCTACAACAGTTCAGACGAATCATTATAAAACAGGTACAAACCCACCTTCCCTAATAAGGGGCAAATAATTAATCGCCATTGACCTATCCAACTAAAAATGGACAATATACTAACCATTTAGTTTTCTTTTTGAAAATAGAGTATGTTGCCCTTTTTTGAATAGAAAAAAAGATTTACATTTTCTATGAGCCAGAGCCAATGTAAGACAAAGCGAAGGAAGTTTAGTGTTCCCATTCTTGGGAAGCAACTACTTTAGAGATCCCTCATTTCTAACCTGTCTCTCTTGACTGGTCTTGACAGGGGACTCACCATATAGAAGCAGAGTTTTAGTGTTTTCCAGTTTGTAGCCAGGTGCAGTGTTGGGGAAATGGAGAGGAGGAGTAAGTGGAAACCGAGGAGCCATTAGACACTGAAACTCCCCTGAAGTCATCTCCCCGAAGACTTCAGAAGGGTCACCTGCTAGCCCCCATCCTGTGATCACTCTTAAGCCCCTCCCCTCAGGGCATGGCTACATAGCACACATCATACAAGTTGCAAATACCGAATATGACTTTATAATAAATTTCTTATTGCATGTATAAGTGTGCGCTTAGAGACAGATATATAGTATTTTATATTCTCAAATAATTGTGAACTCCCTGATGGCAGGAATGATGTATTAATATTACATGTAACATTTGCATGGGATTCAATTTACCTAGACATGTCTCCCTCTCTTCCAATTTCCATTTTAGTCTAGACAACTCTCATCATCCGCAACAGATTTTCACAAGTGACTTTTAGCAGGCCTCCTTACCTTCTCTCCCATCTCAATCTGTCCTCGTCAAGGTTCCCAGATTGATCTTTCTACAGCATGGCCCAAAAACTTTGAGAGATTTCCCTCTTGACAGGATTAAAGCCATGTTCTTTGGCTTGACACTGAAAGTCACTTACGATTCTGCCTCTATCATATTTACCCTACCTCTCCCCAACCTCTATCTTAAATTGACACTAGGCTAACTTTGCTGCTCTGCCATGTCCTTCTGATTGATGCCACCCTCCTACTCAGCCTGACTTAAAGACCCTCCTCACTCATTTCTTCCACCAACCCTCCAGATTCCAGCTCAAGCCCAGGTCCTTCACAACTTCATCAATTTCCTACATTCAATTCCTCCTCCCTTTAATTTAACCAAATATCTATAACATGCAACAGGTATTTAAGCAGATTCCACTTTGAACTGCCATTTAGCTATTTTGTGAGGGTGCATTTTTTTCCAAGTAATGTTTAATTTAACATGTCATTTGTAGCCCCAGAGCACTTGGACAGTCTGATACATGGGCTCTTGGTTAGCAATGGTTCATTCCACGCACATATCCCTTTCATTCCTGAGGTAGTTCTGTGCATGCAGGAGGCATTGAAGTACTTATTTGCTCAAATCTTTATTTCTTTACCTGTAATTTTTCTAGGAGGTCCATGTTTTGTCTTTTCAGTTGGCTATTGGCCCTCTCCAGCTTCTCCAAAGTTTCACTATCCTCACAGGAATATGAAGATTCCTGAAGCTCATCCTGTAGCACATGATATTCCACCTCATAGGCATGCAACTGCTTAGAAATATCCATCTCAAAAACCTGCCATGAAAGTATCATGGGTTAGGCTAGCCTTTGGTATGTATAACAAGATACAGCCTGTTTATCTTGGTATATTTCATGTATATTTCCAAATACTTATTAATGAAGAACATTAAAGCATAAAAAAGCAAAAAAAAAGTGTAACTGTCAATACAAGAATAAATTAGATATAGTTTACACTGTCAACATAAAAACAGATAGCTCTTTCTGTGAAAGAAGATTTTCTTTAAAAACAGAACAGATAGATTATTTCTATGCAATTGAAACATTCTCATGAAGCTAAGTCCCTAGAATAAATTAATGTCCAAGTGTATTTGGCAGCTAAGATATTCATAATCTAGTAACTGTCTCCCAAAATGTAGTATACTAGATAAACAACATTAGTTATTGAGTAATTATTATGTTAGAGATAATCTCTGCTGATTAGTAAGCAAAATTGCATAGGGTATTACTGTAATAAAGCAACCAAAAGCATTTCTAATTTATTTGCCAATGGAGCAGAAAGATCTTAATAAAATTTTGCATCCATTTGCTATTCCCTGTAAGCCTCTTAAGAGTCATTTACATATTGTACCACACAGAGAATCCTCAAAATTGCACACTGTGAGCACTGTCCAGGGCTGTAAGGTTTAATTAGGGCTGCTACTGCTCTCCCATGTCACCACTAAATAGGAAGGTCGTTTGCTTTGAAGCTAGAGGACAGTTACTCCAAACTTCCTAGGGGGAAGGAGAGACAACAGCTGCTATTCAAGCAATGGTGTCTATACTAACACTGAGAAGAGAAAAGAAACCACAAAAAACCTGACTTACTCTACTACTTACTAATAGAGATACTCAAACATTCGAATTTTAATAAGAGAATTTCTAGACTAACTGGTTATCCTCAAATAACCATCATCTTTTCCTTACTTAGTGGGTATGGATACAATGGATTATTATACAACCATTAAAAATGATAATATGGATTTATAGTTACTGGAAAAAATCTAATACTTTATATTTTTAATTATAAATCAGGTTCCACAATAGTATATATAGTATGATTTCATTTATGTACAACTTTATATATTTTTATATGTATATATAAGCAAAGAAACATGTAATACAAAGTTTCAAAGATTATCTCTAGATGTTGAGATTTATAGTTACTTTTATTTTCTTGTGATTTTCTGCATTATTTGCATTTTTTTCCAGTGTCCATAAATAAAGTTCATCAAAGTCTCCCTTAATATCAGCATTTCATTCCACAGTAATCAACTCTAATTGTTAGTAAATTCTCTCCAATATCAAGTTCAAATTTACCTGCCTATAAATTCTACTCATTAATCCCAATAGTAATCTATAAAGCCAGGCAATTTCCTCATTAATTTTAGAAGGGAGGTGATATCTGATTTCAAATCTCTAAAAGCATAATATCTGATTCCAGTCAAGAAAGATATTTCTGAAAAATTTATAAACAAGTGAATATATAAATAAAAGCTACACTTTTCAGCTTACAGAGCATTTTAACAAATACAAACTATTTATAGATATTTGTGATTTAGATTCCATGTAATGGAAATAAAATTTTACATGTATTAATATAATAAGAGTTCATATTATAGTATGAATTACAGGGTACAAAATACTTTAACATATTGGTTATATTTGCTCCTAAAATAATACAAAACTATAATAGAATCTACTTTTGTTATTCCCATTTTGTAGAGGAAGAGGTTGAGACTCAGAGAGGTTGTAACTTGCCCATAGGTACACAGCTAGTAAATGGCTGGGCACCAGAACAAGGTTCCAAACTCCCTTTCTCTAAACCCTATCGTCTTTCTGCCATCAAAAGTGCCTTCAGGAAAGTGGTAAACTTTATCAATGCTCATAAAGCATAATTGTCAAATCTATCAAGCTGCTCTTAAGCTTGTCCACTGCATCTGAACGGCAGCAATATATAGCTACCACTCACCTGGTCCCTATGAAGAGTCAAGGACTACACATACGGTGTGCAGATTACTCTCAATTTGCTTCTCAGATCAATTCTCTGCCCTCATCCATTCTATTGTACCCTGGCAGGCAGACAATTCCCCACACTTACTTTCTGGCTGGCTTCTGGTTCACTTTGGCAAATAGAAGATGCCAGCACAAGATCAGAAGGGGCAGGAGAAAAGGGTTGGGTATTTCTTCCCTGATCCTTCTCTGCCTAGTTCAACAAGACCACAACAACCAGCACAGAACCCTCCTCCACGGTTCCAGCTCTCCCTGGGCCTAGTAACACTATTATATCCTCCACTTAGCTCCTCTGCAGCAGGGGTTTGAACAGCTTCCCTATGTTACTAGTTCCTTCGCACCTGGACAGCTGTGTTGGATTGCCTTACGCCTACCCACACCTTTATAGATGGTTCCTTCATTTGAATCATCGGAGGGAGAATGTTTCCTGTAGGGACAAAGACTGATACACCAAGTCTCCTCACTGAAGCTTCATAAAACCTCTCAGATCAGTATCATCCCATTCTGGAACTTGTCCAGTACTGTCCCATTCTGGACAACTAGGGTTTGGATGATTAGGCTGATGTGTGCAAGCCAAACAACCAATTAAAAAGCCAGAAGTAGATGCAAACCCAATACCTTCTAATTCCAAAGCCTGTACTCCTGCCACGTGTCCTCTTCGTTTATTTTACAAAATAATTAACAATATAACAAAGGCAAGAGGATCTGATTTTATTCTCAGGCCTTCTTGACTCTGTCAGTTCTATCTTCAGTTTTAGCATTGGTTTAAATTGAAAGGATTCCTGAAAAACTCATTACGTAGCACTAAACAGCATTTTTTGTGCATAGCCAGATAGAAAATGTCACAGTGTAGAAATTTCACAATAGTCCCCTTTCTAAATAAAATGTATCTGATGAAAATATCTGTCAAGCAAAGCTACATTTTTAGGCTAAAGCATTTAATATATATTCAGTAGAGAAAACTGCTATATAATACTATTAGCATTTAAATCATACCTGGGTAATAATTTTTTCCATTTCAGAGGTATTCATATCAGGTAGCGTGTTTTTAAGAAACTCAACAATATTTTCAAAGCTCTCACATTCCATTATAAGTGTCTCTTGGCTGCTCAGTAGGCTGAGTGCAACCTTGAATATAACTTCAGTTCCCTGAAGAAAAATAATATCTAAAAGAAGAGATATAATTTTCATGATCAAAACTATGCATCCACTCTTGTAAAAAGCACGCTATTTGTGCTAAAGGTTTTTGTTTACTTGTTTTATGTATTTTGCAGAAGAAAACTGGTCAAAAGCATCTAGCTTTTTTTTAAAAAAGCAATATAACTAAACATATAAGCAGATGTTTTAATATTCCTCTTAAGAATCTCAGATAAAGCCAGGGTAAAAAAGGACAAAGTATATATCTCTGTCCATGAACTACTTGTAATTTTTAATGCCAAATTTAATGGAGACTAGGTAAACCTCAAGGACAGTTATTCAATTGATATTTAGATTTTTCTTCACAACAGGAATACAAAAACAAATTAACATAACCAATGAGTACTATTCAAACTCTCATTACCATAATAAAAAGTAAATGAACCAGCTATGTAATTAAATCTATACCACACCAGGAAATTAAAAAAAAAAAAACATTAACAGAAAAATTAAAACAAATGAAAAACATACAACCTCAATCAGGAGAGAAATATAAGAGCTACCCTAACTCTAAGCCCTGCTTTCCTACAAATACAAACATGCAATACTTTTGAAAAGTATCAAGTACTAGGCCGGGCGTGTTGGCTCACATCTGTAAACCCAACAATTTGGGAGGCTGAGGTGGGTGGATGGCTTGAGGCTAGGAGTTACAGACCAGCCTGGTCAACATGGTGAAACCCCGTCTCTACGAAAAATACAAAAATTAGCTGAGTGTGGTGGCACATGCCTGTAGTCTTAGCTACTCGGGAGGCTGAGGCAGGAGAATCGCTCGAACCCAGGAGGCAGAGGTTGCAGTGAATTGATATTGTGCCCTGCACTCCAGCCTAGGCAATAGAGCAAGACTCAGTCTTAGAAAAATAAAAAAAGAAAGAAATAAAAGTATCAAGTACTTAGTACTTTTTTATGAAAGTTTCTCTCAATCTATGTCATTCTTTAATCAATAATATACAACAGGGAGTCTTTAATGAAGAGGGAACCATAGAATCATTATTTCATAGTAATTCTTCTTGCTCATGCATCTTTCCATTTCCTGCCAGTCTCCATTGTTTTATAAATTCAAAGAAGAGAGTTGAACAGCTATTGTATAGCCAACAGCATCATTTGTATTCTCATGACAAAAAACTGATACTGAGGACATTTGTTTCTTGAACTCTTGATATCAAGCTTCCAAGGGTAAGTAAAAGAGAGGTGCCCTGAAACATCATTTTGATTTGATACACTATTCTCTGGGAAGAAAAATGTATATAAACAAAAGGATTTATAGAATACCCATTAATAGGAACCCAAGCTCCAGAGAAAATGTCACTGTAGAAAAGCAATAGTGTATATTCAATAAACAAGAGAAATCTGGTGAACATTTGATTCAGCGCATTTTCACTTTACTCTTTTGCTGCATTTTATAAATTGTAGTAACACTAATGCAGTGTTTAACTTTTAAACCACAGCCCTCAATAAGAAAGATATCATATGTTGTAATCTGGTATATATATACATTACACATATATCCTCAAAACAAATTTCTCCAAACAACATATTTCCTTACTATTTGTAATATTCCCTAATATCTTCACTAAATGCTGTTTCATTTTTTCAAACACTGGCAATGACCTACAATGGCGCCAATACAATTTGACAAAAAGCTCCAATTTAACAGAAGTGCAGTTGTGAGTGAATACTGACTGCTTTGCCCATGTCTACTAAATAGATTATCAGAACATAAAAATTAAGGGAGCCCTTTCTAAGGCTACTGAGGTCCTAAACAACATCATTAGAACAAACCTCTGATGAAGAGTTGGTTGTTGTTGTTGTTGTTTTAATTTTTGCTTTTTAAATAACAGACTTAGACTAGTATAAAGACTTGTGAATAGATTTAAGGGCCTCCAAAGGGGACATAAACCATGTTACACTCTCTTTTTATTCCCAATGCCAAACACTGTGCTTAGAGCAAGGCAGTTACTCAGTAACTTGCCCTGAGCTCTACTGACTGTACTTAGTGTTTTCCCTGAGCCACCAGTCTTAGAGACTGTCCCCCAGCACTGCATTGGCATGAAAGAAGAGTCACATGAGCAATGAAACAGGATGTAAAGTTATTCTGTTAACAACAAAAAGTCAGGTTAAGAAATGCCATTAGAAACAACATTGATACAGTTAAGAACATATTTCTCTGTGTTTTGAATGCAAGATGAAGAAGACAATGGGGGTAGAAACATGTATATAAAAATCTGGAAAATTATACACAGTCTGTCCCTAGTCCAGATTTTAGGAGTATACTCTCTGATTTTTAGGCACAAATGAAAATAAGAGCTCCATTACAGCTGACTCAAATACAGGAGCCCAATTCCTCTTTCCTTTTTAATTTCAATTTTATGTAAGACAAGTATGATTTTAAGTTACTGTCAGAACACAGCCAGGCACATTTATTAAATTCCATTAGCAATTTGCTATTCTGTATAACACATGATAGAACAATAGGGGCATCATATGGCTAGAAGTAGAAGTATAGTCCTTGGAATAAATAATACTGTTCCATTTAATTACAGGTATCTCTTACCAAAAACTCTGGCTACAAATCCTAATGAAAACTGAGAGGCAAACAATGTGAGGAACCAGGGGGCAGCATAAAGACTGGGGCTGATTTCATTTTCTTCAAGGTGATTGTAGAGATCTCTGTGATAGTCATGAAGGAGCCTGGACAGCTGGTACATTTGAATCTAAAGTTAATTTGGAGAAGAAAAAAAATATTATGCATTTATCTGCATGTGCATCAAACACACTGATTTTAATTTTATTCTAATATTTAATAACAAATTCACATATATAAGTAGTATTACTTTATTTTTATGATTTTAAAGTTGATACTAAAATCCAAGTTCACTTAACTGAATTCATAAAGCAAGTCACTGAAAGTCTATCTAAGAAGACTGAGCAAGTTTCTCTATCACGTGTGTTTGAGCATCACATACATACAAAGAAATGGAATTTTTTCTTCTGTAGGGAGGCATTGCTTTTGGAATTTAATGAGAACAGTCCTGGCTCAGGAACCTCATAGAAAATCCCTTCTAATTTCAGACTAATTCCAGAAAAGCCTCCATTCTAAAGAATCTACCATGTTCAGTGCAGAAGCTTATTTCTATTTACTGAGACCAGCATGTGATTTATGAAAGAGTTCTGGCTCTCCAGACAATCTGCACTGCTAGGAGAGAATTAAAGCTTCGAATGTTACAGGGCCAGAAGCTTGAGATTTATTTCTAATATTCAAGTTATTCCAGCAGCATATTTTTCATGACAAACGTGATTAAGGCAAAAAGTGCAGTTGTTTCTGAATATTTCTAGAACTAAAAGAAAAAATTATTTCATTTGGCTACTGAGTTGGTTATTGGCATTTCAGAAAACATCATAAAGACAGCATACAGAAACTTTTAAACTCATATCTGTGATACTACAGATAAAGCAGTAGTAAGTAACAAACAAATTTGTGAATTGTGTTTTAATTTAAATTTTTATCCACACAGTTAAGAGATAAGTGATGGTTCCCTGATCAGTTATATTGGCTTGATATTTTGGTGTAAAAATGTATAAAATGTTTTATTAAATCTAGCAGAACTTCTTTCACTAGAAGAAATTATTAAAACATCACTCTTAAATAGCTCTATGACAATACATAAAAATAACCAATTATGTTGTGAATTCAACAATTATTTCTAGAGTACAGAACTAAAAATCAACAGACTCCTTTGGAAAAAAATCAAAAACTATGCAAAAATACAAAAAATTGTTTGTTCAATCCTTATCCACAACAAATATCTTTAGAAACTCCGTTTCCACACAAACTGTAAATAAAAGGGAGTTAAAGAGCCACAGGAAGTCATAGCTATAAAATAAGAAGCTTAGCTGGAGTCAAAGTTTTTTTTTAATGAGATTATTATCTCAAAAAATCATGTTGAAAAAAAACATACATTTCCTTTAGACCATTTACATCGTAGAAACGAGAAATTCTGAGCATCTATCAACAAAAGAGTTAGTATTTTGGTAAGCACAAAAATCAAAAAAGTCTAATTAGCAGCATAAAAAGAAAGCACGTCATCAAAAGCACACTGTTCTTGTTCACTTGTGATTATAAAAAGAAGCAATACTTCAACATGTAATTTTTTAAAGAGAATCTTATTTCCCACCTACCCTGCCGCACATACTCAAATGGGAGTTAAGAGAGTTTCTTCCATCAAGGGATATTTGGGCAAATAAGAACACAATTCAGGCTTCCTTCAAAGAAAGCTTTAATGATAAAATTCTATTTTCTAAGAACAAATAATTCTTCAATTCCACCTTATAGATACCAAGGCAAACCTGCAGATTAAAGAGGTGAACTGGAGAAGGAAAGATGCACAGAGAGAGATAAGGGTAGGGGAGAGAAGATGAAAAAAAAGTAGAGACCAAAAACTTCAGAGGAAAAGATATAATGTCTTTATGCTTAACACAGAAAGCAGCAGAAACAAACGTGACAAGATACATGTATTTAAAGTTGAAAAAGACCTCAACCCCCACATTTTACAGATAAGGTAACTGAAGCAAGATTTTACACATTTTACAGATAAGGTAACTGAAGCCTGGAGCACCCAAGCCACCAAGAGAGAAGCAAGAAATCAGAAATCCTGTGGAGTGAGTCCAAACCCACTGCAAGAGGCATTTAAGCACACTTCTAAACATCCTATTGGCTATACCCAAAACAGTACCTCCTGCTCTAGAAAGTGGAAAAGTGTTATATCTCACTTTAAAATGCAAAAGGACCTACTCTCCCAGAATAAGGTCCCCAATACTGCGGCCTACAGCAATGCTGTCACCAAAGATTTTTAAACATCTGCATTTTCAAAATTATAGACATAAAATACTTCTTGGTACTTACAGTCCATATTAAATGAATGTATAAATCCGATTTACATGAATTTTTGTAATGTCAAATTGATGAATAATTTTTAAGTTGAAATATCATTGTATTTTTAAACTGATAGCTATTATCCTTTTATCTGTGGACCCAGATCAAACACTACTCACAGGTACTTCCCTGTATCTTTGAAATTCTAATAATAGCTACCAAACCGTTGTTTCTGAAAATCAGAATTATTGAATTCCTTACAAGACCATCTGATTCCTATCTGATATTAAGATACAGGTGACCAGGCACAGTGGGTCACGCCTGTAATCCCAGCACTTTGGGAGGTCAAGGCAGGTGGATCACCTGAGGTCCGGAAGTTTGAGACCAGCCTGCCCAACACAGTGAAACCCCAACTCTACTAAAAATACAAAAAATTTAGCAGGGTATGGTAGTGCATGCCTGTAATCCCAGCTACTCGGGAGGCTGAGGCAGGAGAATCACTTGAACCCAGGAGGTGGAGGTTGCAGTGAGCCAAGATCGCGCCACTGCACTCCTGCCTGGGTGACAGAGCAAGACTCCGTCTCCAAAAAAAAAAAAAACGATAAAAAGATAAAAAGATACAGGTAAACTCTTTAGGAATAAAAAATAAAACTTTCCACAGTTGTTATTTGACTTGTTAAACCTACGAATAGTCATCAATGAGGAATCAAATCATATGAACTCACACCAGAAAACCTAATGTTGATAGCAAAGCCCTATCTCCCCAGTCAAAATTTTACCTTCAGAAAGTAAAGAAAAATGGAATACTTCATCTCCATTCATACTCTCAAAAAATATCATTTACTATAACGCTCAGACTAAAAATACAATTCTTTTGTTATACATTGGCAACTGAGATATTAAAGGCAAAAAACTCATCTCTGGGAAACAGAAAAAAATAGTATATTTTAAAAGCATCTTTAAACTATTACTTCTTATCTAAAGCACAGTATTATGATGAACTGGGAGTCATGCATACCTCATTTCAAGGGAGGAAAAACCTGAGAATCCTCTTTAAAGTCTTCTTTTATATTTTTAACCACTGAAAGCTTTAAATTGCCAGGCAGTGGTTGTTTAAGTATCTATAGACAAAATTTAAACTGCTTATTAGCAACCAACCCACTTAGAGAAGTGAAAACTAGGAGAGAAATGTGCAAACAGGGAGTCTGAGGTAGGCTAAAGACAGCAGTGGCAGTTAATACCCCACTCAAAATACCTGGAAAATCTTAATGGTGCTTCTTCAGAGCCTGCTAAGAAAAGCAGACTCAGTGGCTCAAGCCTGTAATCCCAGCATTCTGGGAGGCTGAGGCGGGCGGATCACCTGAGGTCAGGAGTTCAACACCAGCCTGGCCAACATGGTGAAACCCCATCTCTACTAGAAATACAAAAAAATTAGCCAGGCATGGTGGCACCTGCCTGTAATCCCAGCTACTGGGGAGGCTGAGGCAGCAGAATGGCTTGAACCCGGGAGGCAGAGATTGCAGTGAGCCGAGATCGTGCCACTGCACTCCAGCCTGGGCAACAAAGCAAGATTCCATCACACACACACACACATACACACACACACACACAAAGCAGACTGAAAAGGCACCACTGGCTTTCACACTTTTTCCTCTGTAAAGGCCTATCTTACATGAAGATAAAGGAGGGGAGATATCAATGATAAGTTCAAAAAGAACCATAACATGGTATCTGCTATTTGTGTACTCAAAAGTAAAGGGATAAAGATACTTTCAGATTGTAAACAAAAGATCTGTGAGCCTTTTCAACTGAGAAGTTGAGAAAAAGTGAATAAAGATGATTTGATACCTTCTCCATGTAACCCATAGACTTAGGGCATAAAGGACTGGGTCCTCATCACCTACCTTTCTTAAATTACTTATTTACTTACTTCAGGAATTTTATGGAAAAGGTATTCTGCCTCTGGGTCTCATACACTTAGAAGTTTACCTAAATAGCAAATCCCACACTAAGTGAACTAAAACATGCCCCAATCTTTACCCAAGTTCTAAGACAATGGCTCTACATTTCTTTAAATCTGAACTGTAATAATTGAGAAGAGGGCCAGGATTTCTGGTAATAGTCTCACACCTTCCTCGGGAAGCACAAGTGCCTCACCTGCAGCGACATCATGTCAGGTCTGTACTGCTTGCGGAAGCCGAGGTCATACATGAGGAATTTCAGCATTTCAAAGGCTTGCTCTTCACTCATGTGCAGAAGCAGGACTCCAGCCACAAAGCTGATCCCCTGACAGTATCCCACTTCTTTGTCCAGCAAAGAATAGGCTTTCAGGAGGTTAAACAGTGACAGCTGTCCTGGCCCAAGCTGTACTGAAAAGTAAGGGTGAGTAGGAAACGTCCTTCCTGCAGAGGAAAAGAAGGAAAATATTTTTTGAAATGTCCTCATGCCTTGGAGACAACAGTGAAATTGCAATTCAGTGACCTCCAAGAATAAACAGACACTCTTTCCCAAACCAGTGAGAGTTGCTTAGAGTCACCATGTAACTAAGAGTCTCTCCCTCTCTCACCCCAAGTTCTGCCAGGCCACCATACCATCTTCACATATACGATATGGGAGGAAACATTTTATGCTAACCAGTACTTCTTTCCAGCAAAAAAAAAAAAAAAAAAAAAAAAATACAATAAAAATCCACAAACCAATGATGTACCCAGGAGAAATACCAGGAAAATGGAATATAAATTTTATTCTGACTATAAAGCAAGGCAAATTCTAATTCATATAAAGACTACCTTCTAAATGAAACCAGAAGTCTGTAAGACATATTATATTATTTAAAAGAAAATCTTCATAGTCTATAAACAGGTTTATTTCTGCTTTTCTTATGACACTGGAGGGACTTTTTGGGTTTGTTTGACTTTACATTCAGACTGTCATTCAGAAGAAAACTGCTTTTTCAACTATCGTTCGCTCTCTGCTCTTAAAATACCTCCATGAGCCATGTAAACCACTTTTCTTTTTCAATATCTAAAAATATCAAGGAAAATAAAGGGTCAAGTCAATTTCAAATAAATTCCCCTCTAAAATATACCTCTAGGTATAAAATTACCACAGAGACACTTGAGCTGGCAATGTGAGTCCTGCATCACTAAAAGGAGAGTTCTATACACAGAAACAAATCCGTCTTCACATCAAAGCTGTCTATATTGGTATGGGCATTTTTCTAGGGCCACAAAAATGAAGGGGGATGTTAGCTTCCTTGTGAAATGATTACTCATGTCATTTAGAACTTGCAAGAGTGCCAGGTTTTAAAATGTTTTCTCCCACATATGCTTAAAAGTGATTTTTTTTTCTAGGAACCAATAAGATTAATTCTGCAGAGCCAGTAAGAGGAAGATATGAGAAAATAACAATTGCATGCTGAAGAAACACAGATGGCTACAAGCAGAGCCAAATAAGCAATTTTTAAAATTATGGTTTTACTTTCTCACTTAAAATTTTTACTAAGGAAAACTATAAATACACTTTCTATCCATTAACTTGATTCTAGCTCCATTTTTGTCTGACTGTAATATGATCTCATTTTCTCTCTTTAATAGGACATCGTGACTAACCCTGATTGTATCATCAATTTATGGTCAGAGAACCACAGATTTGCTTGGGAACATAGGGATTGCCTTGTTCAATGTCCCCACTTAGTAGAGAGGATGGACGCTCAGAAGGAAGGTAATATGTCTAAGACCACAATTAGTGGCACAATCAGCACAAAAACTCATTTTCAGTTTCTCTGTAAAATCCCCTTTTTAATTCCGCTGGGCTCAAAAAAATAATTAACTGAGCTGGGTCCTTTCCCAGTAAGAGCCATTTGTCATCCAAAAGGAACAGAGGTAAAAACTAGGGTTTGGCTAGTGATTTTTCATATGCCCTAATATAAGATGACCCCAAACATAAGGTAATCTTGTATTTTCCCAAATGGGCCCAAATAACATATCTGGCCACCTGACATATATCAACTTTTAGGAGTACAAATAAAGTGGTCAAATGCCAATATATAATATTTAATCTAATAATGTAGATATTTTTAAATAATAAAGTATGTTAGAGAAAAATTAGAGACAATACAATCTTTAAAAATCAAAGCATTTTTATTTCCATAAGTTATTTGAAAATCAGCATTTAAGAAGACTGCTGGCTGGGCACGGTGGCTCATGCCTGTAATCCCAGCACTCTGGGAGGCCGAGGCGGGTGGATCACGAGGTCAGGAGATTGAGACCATCCTGGCTAACACGGTGAAACCCCATCTCTACTAAAAATACAAAAAAAAAATTAGCCGGGCGTGGTGGCTGGTGCCTGTAGTCCCAGCTACTCAGGAGGCTGAGGCAGGAGAATGGCATGAACCTGGGAGGCGGAGCTTGCAGTGAGCAGAGATCGTGCCACTGCACTCCAGCCTGGGCAACAGAGGGAGACTCCATCTCAAAAAAAAAAAAAAGACTGCTTTATGATTCTGTCACTGGAAATTCTCCGCCAGGTCATGAGTACCCATTCCTACACTATTAGTGCAACTAATGTTTCACTCACCCTATAGGTGTATAGTCATAATTTCCACCAACATAACCATTTATCATGCTGCTTTTTAAAGTGACATATAAAGGATTGTTTTCAGCAGTGTGTCCAGGAATACCTAGTACACCTTTGTTAAATTTTTAACCTATTCTAAGCTATTTCAAAACCAGCATTGATTAAGATACAACTATCTGCCCTAAAAAGTCAGTTGTTCAAAATGCAGTAACTGAGAGCACCCCATAATATGACCTTTATAATAATTTAAATATAAGATGGCTCCCTTTGCAGAGGCAAAGTTTTGGGGTGAAAACTTCATTTAACACGCAGGCATTTATGGGATCGTCAATCAGGTATAAGGCCAACTTGCCCTCAGTAAAGGACAAAGTCAACGGCTCTGCATATGCCAACAGGTGCTCTTTATCAGCACCAAGAACAAACAAAAACCAAAAAAACTTAACAGAGGGATCAGCTGTTTACTTTTGTAAATTATAATCCACATGACAAACATACCTAAATCCACGAGAATCGCATGCTGCTGAGCAGTGAGCTGCTTCAAAAGTTCCTTATAGGATATGTCAGGAGGCTGTTGTTTATTAGGCAATCTGTGTCTGAGTCGGTACTGTAAAGCCAGAAACTGCCAAATTTCTCCTCGTCGACTTTTGGGAACTCCTACAATGAAGGAGATAAATAACCAAGGCCTTGAACTCTGGAATGAAGTTGATAGATCCCAGCTGATTCACTATATAATTCTGGTAAACAGGCAGCTGTATGTACTGCATGCCACCCTAAGACCACACAATATAATTGACAGAAGCATATTTTGACAAGCTGAATCCTATAGCTCTTGATGCCTTGCAAAAGAAAACCCTCACGCAACACTTACGATAATGACAATATTAACAATAACATCACCCGTTGCTGACTGAGCATTAATAAAACATTTATTGAGGGTGCCTAGCTACTAAGCACATGCACTCAGAAAACAACTCAACTATAAGGTAGGCAATTACTATTAGGTCCACTTTATAGACAGAAAGCTGAGGCAGAAAGAGATGAAGTAATTGCCCCAAGTTCACATGGCTAGGAAGTGGCAGTTTAGAATTAGAACTCCAAAAGTCTGGTTTCAGAGGCCAAATCCTGATATCCCAAAGTGTATTACTGCCTATTTTCACTCTTTATCTGGCTTGAGGATAGCAACAAATGCTAAACCTAATTTACAACTCTAAATATTTGTCATCAACAAGTAACTTTATAATAGAGAATCAAATAGCATTCTTATATGGGCATTAAAAATGAAAGAATAGGCCAGGTACGGTGGCTCATGCCTGTAATCCCAACACTTTGGGAGGCCAAGGTGGGTGGGTCACTTGAGGTCAGGTGTTCATTACCGGCCTGGCCAACATGGTGAAACCCTGCCTCTACTAAAAATACAAAAATTAGCGAGCATGGTGGCATGCACCTGTAATCTCAGCTACTCGCGAGGCTGAGGTAGGAGAATCGTTTGAACCTGGGGGACACAGGTTGCAGTGAGCTGAGATCTCACCACTGCACTCCAGCCTGGGAGACACAGCGAGACTCTGTCTAAAAAAAAAAGAAATAATATAAGTAGTAAACAATAAGAAGGCGTAACTGATATGCTCCAGAACAACATTCGGGCTTTGAAAAGAAAATGCTTAGCACATATAATGAAACATTAACTCTAGTATGCTTGAACACCAAAATGTATCACAAGCAGTTCAAGGACACTATGACTATGTTTTTTATGCCAAGGGAAATGAAGTAAGCACTGGGAGGGACAGAATTCAATTCTGCACAGTGCAGGCAACTTTATTTCACTCACTAAGAGTTTTCAGTTTGGACACATTGAATCGGCAATGGGTTCCTTTGCTCCAGCTGGTTAAGGAAATGCTTAATGACAGTAATCTCTTCTGACTGATTGCCAGAGTTTGTACAAGCTGAAAGTATTATTGTCCGACAGGTGAAACTGAGGCTCGTTGGCATGACTTATGAGGCCTCTACAATATAGCTCCAAACTACCTTTTTAAGCACCATTACTTCCCAGTCCCTGATGTATACTAGACGCTTGTGGTTATTTTCACTTCTCCAGTTTCTTGCACCTCCTGTTGCCTTTATGGAATTCCAAGCTCCCTCGCTTGACTTCCCATTGTACGTCTATTCATCTTTCATGAATGAGCTTGAGTGTCACCTTTTCTTTTGAAGCTCTCCCTAACATCTCGAGATGTAATCAGTCCCTTTTCACACACCATTTGACTCATACTGTAACATTACCATATTAGATTACAGTTAGCTCTATATTGAAGTTTTGTCTCTTTTCCCGGCTTAAATGGTCCTTGAGAATAGCAAGCATATTTTCATCTCTGTATGATAAAATCCAAGAATATACCTTGCTGCTTATACATTTGTTGAATGAATCAATGACAGCATAGAAAATGTCATTTTTAGAAGGTAACTATCAGCCCACTAAATGAATCACTGATAACATGAGTGGGCAGTTTTATTATCCAACCAATAATAAATGTACAAAAAGCAACTTCATTCCAGTCAAACAAACATTTATTGAGCATCCAGTATGTAACAGAGAATAAAGCAAGGCAGTCAGGATGCCTCATCATTGAGTGATGAATAAATCCATTCTCAGGAAAATCATCTCATTCATTCATTCATCCATTCATTCATCTAGTAATGAGTGCAAGATACTGTCTTAGGTGCTAGGTGTGCAGTGGTGGGGTAAGAAAAACATTAAACAAATACACACATAATTATTAAACTGTAAATTATGATTAAGTATAATAAATCACGAAAAAGAATGATAAAGTACAATGAACTGATTTTGGTCGGGGGGCAGGGGTGGTGCTCTGAGGAAATGGTATTTGAGGGACCTGAGGGATAATAGGATGCTCTGGGCTTAAAGCGCAGGCAGCAGTCACTCCAGGAGAGGACCGCATAAAGGCCCTGAGACGGGCAGAGGAAAGGGCGGAAGAAAGAGGAGTGAGAAGAGGATGGAGTGGAAAGAAAGGGAGATGGGAAATGAGAATGTAGAGAAGTAAGGAAGAAGGAGAATAGGGAGGGCTGGAACATTCCATGCAAGAAATAGCAAAGGACATATCAGTGCTCAAAGTAAAATAGAGCACACAATACAAGGTAAGGAGAGATAACAAAATGAGATCAGAAAGGAGGAAGTAGATATTATAGAACAATGGTATGGTTTGGCTGTGTCCCCACCCAAATCTCATCTTGAACTGTAGCTCCCATAATTCCATGTGTAGTGAGAAGGACCCGGTGGGACATAATTGAATCATGGGGGCAGTTTCCCCCATACTGTTCCTGTGGTAGTGAGTAAGTCTCATGAAATCTGATGGCTTGTTAAGGAGAAACCCCTTTCACTTGGTTCTCATTCTCTTTTGTTTGCCTCCATGTGAGACACACCTTTCACCTTCCGCCATGATTGTGAGGCCTCCCCAGACACGTGGAACTGTGAGTCCATAAAACCTCTTTTTCTTTAGAAATTACTCAGTCTTGGGTTTGTCTTTATCAGCAGCCTAAAAATGGACTAGTACAAAGGCCTTGGGCACAGGGCCAAGAAGTTTAAACTGTATCCAATAAGAAATAGGAAGATAAGCACTCCTAAAATATCTTTGAAAGTCATGCCAAAAAATGGTGTGATCTACATCTCATAGACATTCTGTTAACCATTATTGTGTCTCCCAAATAAAGCATTCAGTAAAAATCTTTAGGATTTCCATATCTTCAAGGATAAAGAACACTATATTAAGTTTGTCAATGCAGCAGCTTTCAAAATAACACTTATCTTAATTTAAACTTAACTGTGGCTCAACAGTCTCACACATTAGCATAGGCTTTTAAAACAACAATCATTATAGAATTTCTTTGGGTATTTTGGAATTTTTATTTTACACCCACAGTTTATGCAGGCTATGGAGATTCTAATTTTAATATATTTAATCTGAGTCACAGAAACTGCAACTAAAAGTTGACTTATTAGTTTTATTTTTAAATTTAAAATTCTTAAATATCAGGCATCTTATATGGCATAGCAGCAATAAAAGAATAAATGCGATATAATGGCTAAATAAAAGCAACTTCTCCAAAATTAGTGAAGAAATGAATGGATGAAAGAAAATTGATTGATTACTTAGCCAGAATATAAATCTATACATATAAATACATACAAGTATATATACACAGTCATGTAAATATACACATATATGTAAATGAATACTTCTGACCAAATGATGAAAATGAGTCAAGTTTGAAAGACTGAATTATTAATATTTTTATGGCAGTGATCAAAGATTTGTATCAATGCATGCACTTCTTCCTTGGTAAACACCACCACCATGCTGAAAATAGGTTTGTGCTACCTCCTCAGAGACAGTCACTAAACTACAGGAAGAAACAAATTACTTCTCTTTTTTTACTAAGCAAAACACAAGGACAAAATTACTAAGCAAAATCTGAGCTCCACAAATCAAACAAAAAAAAAAAATCCCCCAGGCTTTTCTTTAAAAAACAAAAATTACTGAGATTATCCCAAATACCTTCTTTAAGAAGAGTATGAATATCTTCCATATCACATCTGATTTTAGCTCTGCAGTTTAACAACTTCTTATCCCAAGTTATTAAGACCTCTTTCTGACATGCACCAACTTCTTCATAGTCTAATTTAACTTTTCTGGACTGGAGTTCATCTCTGCTTGCTAAGGAAAAAAACAATTTACGTAAGACCAATGTGTTTTTCAAATGTAAAACTTTAGACGTTTGATTGTATTTGTAAAACCATACCAAATGACTTTCAGGAATCAACTGGTAGTGTATCTCAAAAAGAAAATTTAAAACAAATTGAGGATACATGAAAGGGTCCCAAGCTTTGAGTCATTTCATGTGAGAAAAAAAATGAGGAATAACCTCCTAAGGAGGTTTTACTCTGTATCTTACATATGGCGACTCTGCTAAGTATAAAAAGTAAACCGTGTTGATCATTCTATAATTTTCCATTTTTTGACACCACTGAAGTGTTAATATTTTATATGTGCCATACATGAGAAGACAAAGACTCATGCTCATCTTGATTTGAAAAATATATGACCATAACATGATACATTTTTATAACTGTTTCCAGAGTTATCCATACTGCCCTTAATAACTAATAAAACTAGCTTATGTGTTCCCATGTTCGTTATTTTCTCTTTCGTTTGTTTTTGCTTTTGTTTCTTAGAGACAGGGTCTCACTCTGTACCCCAAGCTGGAGTGCAGTGGTGCAATCATAGCTCACTGCAGCCTCAACCTCCTGAGCTCCCATCTCAGCCTCCTGGGTAGCTAGGACTACAGGCATGCGCCACTACACTTGGCTAATTTGACAAACTTTTTTGTAAAGATGGGGTCTTGCTATGCTGCCCAGGCTGGTCTTAAACTCCTGGCCTCAAGCAATCCTCCTACCTCAGCCTCCCAAAGAGCTGGGATAACAGGTGTGAGCCACTGCACCCAGCCCTCCTGTGTTCATTTGTAATAAACTTAAAAAGAAAAATTCCTTTCACTGAAGTTAACACTAATTCTATTTTTAAAATAATATAGAGTTCTCTCTAATTTGATGGTCTAACATATCCGCCCAGAGCTCATTAAAAGAAATGTCTATAAAAGCAACCAGTATCTTGATTTGTTCTTTATCATGAAAAACTGATTTCAAAAGAGAAGGAAGAGCAGACACAAGAGTATACTTCTTCTCTTCATTAGGATCACGGTGGACAGGAACATCTCAGAGCAATCTGTATTCATGCATGCTCACAGCGCTCGGCCACCTTACCTCCTGCAACACAAATCTTTGTCATGCATCCCAAGTCCTCGACAGCACAAAAACAACAGCAGAATGAAAGTTACTCTTTACTTAGTGTGTTTGAAACCATTTCAAAAGACTTAAAATATCTTATAACAAACTGTTATTCAAGCAAGGCAGTAAAAATTCCTACTTAAAAGTCCAAACATAATCTAAAGATAAATCACAGTACAAAACTATTCCTTCCGGATACCACAGATGGCTTTCTAACACTGTCTAGCTTGGCTGTTTGGCTATTTGCTTTATATTTCTCTGATAACCAAGTAATTTTTTAAAAGGTGTGGCTTTATTAAGGCTAAAAACAAATATACTCCTATATATAACTTTACTAATTATTTTCTTCATGATGGACAAAACATAATTACTTCCTTAGAGTTTTTCTCTAATCTTCTCTAGATTATTGATCATTTAAAATAATCACGAGCATCTGCTTATGTGCCAGCCGCACACCCTGAGGATAAAATGGTGAACAGGGACAGTTAATATCTGCCCTTAACTGTTTAACTAGAAAAGACTAAAGAACTATCAAGAAATAATTATCCATTGGTTAGAATTTTCATAGGTTAAACTATTTTTTATCTTTGTTATGTAGGCAGAGAAACAGAGAACCGATGAAGGTTTCTGAGAATGTATTCTAAATGTCACCTCCTTTCTTAACCTGTAAAATCATATAGTATAACTGATCTCAGAATACACAGCAGCCATTTATGTAAAACATTCCATTTCCTTATATTAACATACACAGCTGAGAAATACTGTGGGGTGCTGGGGAAAGCCCGAGAACCACGATGAATAAACCTGAGTTTTGGTACTTGCTCTGCCAGTATGTCACTATTTGACCTTAGGTTAATTCTCTACCTTTCCCAAGCCAGTCACTACTTCTACTGTAGAATGAAGAATCTAGCTAAGTAATCTCTAAGGCTATTTCTACTTCAAATAGTCTATGATTCTGAAACCACCTTTTGATATTTAATATCAGATTTTATTTGTACATACTCCCAAGTGAAATACAGTTTCATGCATTAAATTTTTTGAGGAAAGGATGACCACCTTTTTTTCAACCTCTTTTTCTGAGTTAGTTCAAAATATAACTACTTGCTTACAAATATGAATTCAATTTCTTTTGAAGCCTGCGAAACCTCAAGTGGGCAGACCATTTATCAAACTGAACTTTTAAAATTATGCTAACGACAAGTAATAGCATTTTTAATTTTGAAGAAAAGAAGATGTATTTCCAAAGGATATTTAAAATCCTATGTACTTTTCACTCTGCTAACAGCGATTTTAAAAAATGTGCTCTTGCAAACTATATATTGTTAAAATAAAAAAATTAAATTGAATCATAGGTGTAGTAACAAGAATCTTAAGGTAGATGATAAAGTCAGAAATGTGGAATACCTATACTAAAAAAGCTGTATGAAAGACCACAAAATAAAGGCAAGTGAGAGAAATATCTAAATTATACTTGTGCCAATAATCTTAAAAGTCAAACGGACCACTTATGTTAAATGTTTCATTTTACAAGTGTAAAAATGAGACCCTTTCAGGTTAAGTGATTTTCCCAAAATAATGAAATTTATACATTTTTTTGGATTTCTTAGCATCTCCTTGTATGTGGTTCTATCAGTACTGGAGTAAATTATATCATTCTTTCAAAGGCTGAAAAACACATTCCAAAGCATTTGGTAATCATAATCTTAGCAATAAGGCACCACAAACAGTACAAAATCTATTATAAATTATTTGATTATAAATATAATGATTTGAATACGACTTTGTTAAATAGAAAATTTATAAAGCATTAACAAAAAATAGGAATAGGTTTGGCTTGATAACAGATAATTATAATTAAATAGTTAAATTGAATACAATGTAAGTAGGATTTACTTGAGGTAGGCATATTTCTCCCATTATGAATGTAATTAACCTGAAACTTGAAAATCACATTCAAAGAAAAGAAAATTTGCTTTCTCATATTTAAGGATTTTTTAGAAGTGACACTAAGATAATGAACTTTCAGACACATCAAATACATTGATTCCATATTATCTACATTCTATTTTACCTAAATATACTCTAAGAGTTTCTTAAGTCTTAAATCTATTTAAAATGCAAACCCATTTAAAACAAAACCACAAATATCTTAAGCTGACCTTTCCCATGTTATAACCACCTCACAAAATGGAAATCAACAATTATAATCAGTAGGTATTCTTCTTAAAGTGTGCATACAGTCCAAAACTGAGTGCGGATAGTATGTATGGGGAGAGAAAGGTAGGTTTAACATACACCCTTCAATCATAGCATCATAGCATTTAGTCTGTTAAAATGGCTAACCTTCAAGTTTCTGGTTTTCTTTTTCCATTCGAAGTAACAAGATTTGTTGGTGTATAGCTTTTCTCCACAAGCTCCTCAGTTCTTTTGATTTCTTTCTTTCTTCAATCTTTTCTGGGTCATCCTCCCCAGACAGGAATACAACCAGCGGTTCCTCCTCCATGGTTGGAGAGAGGGGGGACAGTGGCAGCAGCTCGTTCCTGTCCAATCCATCTGCAGAGAAGAACACAGTGAGAGGCATTCCTTAGCAGTAACCCAGACTACCCAAGTTTCTGTAGAATTCACATTCTCATCTGATCTTCTACACTTAAAAATGTCACAAAGCCGCTTTCCCTGTAACTTAGTTTCTGCAGCTAATATTTAAGTAAATTCACTAGACTGAATTCCCCTTCCAGATTTCCCTGTCATGATGAAACAGAAGCATAGGTCATTTCACCACTTCTTCTTTCCACCCAAAGAGCTCTGTAAGAGAGGTGCCCCAAAACTAACTGGCCTCTCCTGAGTCCAACACTTCTGCAATTTACTTACGTATATTCTCTGGCTGTGAGGAACGAGATTAAGTGGCTAGGTATCAGTGATCTCCGAAGGTCTACATCGATCATCAGAATCCGTCAGGAGCATAGCCACTGAGCAATGCTGGGCCTCTCCTGGCTGAGCACAGTACTCCCTCTGCTCATTCCTCCTGCAACACCTTTTTCTTTTTCTTTTTCAATTTTTATTTTAGGTTGAAGGGGTCCATGTGCAGGTTTGCTACATGGGTAAATTACGTGACTCTGGGGTACAATGTACAAATGAAATGACTTCGCCACCCAGGTAGTGAGCACAGTACCTGAGAGGTAGTTTTTCAATCCTCATCCTCCTCCCACCCTCCACCCTCAAGGGGGTCCCGGTGTCTAATGTTCCCTTCTTTGTTTCTATGTGTACTCAATGTTTAGATCCCGCTTATAAGTGAGAACATGCAGTATTTGGTTTTCTGCTCCTGTGTTAATTCTTAGGATAATAACCTCCAGCTACATCCATGTGGCTCCAAAGGACATGATTTCATTATTTTTCATGGCTGTGCAGTATTCCATGTGCAACACTCCCTTAACAGGTGACTCATTCTCTCCCTTCCTACTGCCAATGATTTTCCTATTAACAACCATAATCACATCTCTTAAAACATTTCAATGGTTGCTTATATCGCAAGAACAAATTGGGACTAGCATTTAAGTTCCTTCAGATTCTGGTCTCCACTCAGATTTCCAGCCTCATATCTCAATCTTCTATTCTTTGCATTCATCATGCTGAATTTCTCATGATTCTCTGATCTGCAAAGTTCACTCAAATGACTCCAGAGCTTCGTCATTCCTTCCTTCTAAAGCATGGTTCTTCCAGCAACGAGTTTAAATAAACATCTAATTGTTCTGTGAAGCTTTTTCTGACCACCTCGGGCAGAGTTAACTTCATCTTTAGTAATACCAGTTGTTTTCTTCTATTTTCTTCTTTTTTTATATATATTCATTGACCTCTGCCTTTACTTTTATTATTTACTTCCATACGTTTTACTGTTGTTGTTTTAAAATTTTAATACCTGGCTCTCTTACTAGCTTTTTGAGTTGAACACTCAGTGTAACTAATTTTTGGCCTTCTTGATTTTATATCAATATATTCATGGCTTTTAACTGCTCCCTAGATCCGTTTCAATAGGTAAGGCTCTAAGCATTGAATTTTCTTCCTTCTAGCTTCTAAGAGTAGTTTTCTATTCCCAAACACATGTCATTCTACTTGTCTTCTAATCCTTGATTTCTTTCTTTTTTTGGCATTGTGGTCAGAGAATATTTGTATAAATGATTATGATTATTTGGATTTCAAAAAGATTTACTTAAAAATCTTTGTGGACAGGTACATAATTACATTTTATGAATGTTCCAAGTGTGCTAAAAATGAATGAGTTTTCTCCATAGGAGGCGAAGTTCTCTATAAATATTAGGTCAAGCTTATTTATTTGTGTTACTCAAATATTATTTATATTTAATTTCTAAAGATGAGTATGTTAAAATCTCCCACAGGAGCTATTAATTTATCGATTTCACTCCAGAATTCTTTTAGGTGTTATTTTCTAGCTCTCAAAGCTACATCATTATGTATGTTCTCATGATTGTTCTATCTGTTTGTTTACTGTTACATGTGCTTGCCTCTTTGGATGCTTTTGCTTTAGTTTAATAGGTCAATTACTCAAAGAGAGCTGCCTGTGCTCTCTTTTGCTCAGTATTTGCCTAGTATATTGTATATATTCCTTTATTGCTCAATATTTCTATGTCAGTTTGTTTTATGTGTGGCTCTTATAAAAGGCTATGTTGCTTTTCTAATAATAAAAAGATCTTTGGAAGCTGAGGTAAGATGATTGCTTGAGCCCAGGAGTTCAAGGCTACAGTGAGCTATGATTACACCACTGCAACCCCAGCCTGGGCAACAGAGCAAGGCCCAATCTCTGGGAAAAAAAAAAAGAAAGAAAGAAAGAAAGAAAGAAAAAGGACATACAGCTTCTTTCCTAGCACTATCACAGTTCCGTCTACCTTGTGGAGTAGGCCCAAGTACAGGTTTTTGGAAACTGTCTCACTCATTCATTCATTCAACAAGCAGGTATTGAATGCCTAATGTTTTCTAATGATACCTGAAAGAGAAACCACTGTATCACATACAGAAAGATATTTCTACACTGTAATCACTTAAATCTCTTTATACACAGCACGTGCATTCCATTAGCTAATTTCTGACACTCAGAGGGATAAATTCCTTAGGGAGTGCAACACAGACCTTGCTGTTGCATTGCTGAGGGAGATTTGTTCATGGGAGAAGCAACCCTGAGGAAAATGCGCTGCCGCCAGGAGATCCGGCGAGGAGTGACAGAGGTTCCTCCCACACTTAGGGACTCATTGCTGCAGGTAGATGAGGTCCTTTTTCTCCCTTCTCCATCACTGTTGAAAGCAAATAAACATATCACTTATAAGGAGAGCTGCACATCATGGCACTTCACAACCAACTGGTAGCACAAGCCATTCACAAGTTCTGTCACGGGCAAGCACAAGCCACAGGCAACATGGAGCAATGCATCACCAGGCACACTAGTCACCCAGGCCACCACATCCTGGGGAAACAGCAATCTAGGCCACAGCCCAGTCAAGAGAAGCTCCCCTGTTTCTACTCATTCCTTAGCAGCCAACCAGTCCTAGTTCTAATCTGAGGAACAGAAGCACTTATAAGGAGGAGTACAGGTTGCTTAAGTCATGAATTCATGCTTTGCTAAGGAAATAACATGAATAGCTTATTTGAAACAAGGTAAATATTCCATAAAAGCCTCACAAAGAGCTTTTGTTAGAGCTCTTATAGAACAGGTCAATAAAGACTGTTTCTAATTGCCTACGACTGTTAAGATGTGTCTCTGAATGGTCAGCTACCAACAGTTGAATCATGGCAGATGATAACCTGAATATAAGCAGAACAGTCAACCTTGGGATTATTGGTAGGTGATATACTAAGAAAAAACTGGGGTCAAATAAGATTGGATGGCTAAGTTAAAAAATAGATCTTTTTATATTTTTATTGACATTTATTTTGTGAGATAAGGTCTCATTTTTTCACCCAGGCTGGAGCGCAGTGGCGCAATCACAGCTCATTGCAGCCTCGACCTCCCAGGCTCAAGAGATCCTCCCACCTCAGCCTCCCAAGCAGCTGGGACTACAGGTGCACACCGCCACACCTGGCTATTTTTTTAAAAAAATCTTCGTAGAGACCGGGTCCCATTGTGTTGTCCAGTCTGGTCTCAAACTCCTGCACTCAAGCAATTCTCCTGTCTCAGCTCCCAAAGTGCTGGGATTACAGGCATGAGGCACCACACCCAGCCTGTTAAAAAATGTTAACAGATTTCTTTATAGCAGTACTTGTTAGAGACTGTTAATACACTGGCATGCACTGTACCTCTCCAACAGGGAAACAGTGTATAGAAATTCCCCAACTTATTGAAATTAATTGATTCTAGAATCACCTCCCTCAATTTTTGGGGGACAGGGAGTAGTGTCACATCATTCTATATTAGTGCATAAGAAAATGCTCCTCTATTGTCAAAATTTCATTTCCTAAAAAAGACCACTTTGAGTTATGCTAGGCCTATCTGCAAAAAAAGGTCGGTATGACTCAAAATCATTTTTGAGACCAATTATATTTGCTGCTGGAAGACCTCACAATAATTGTTGCTGTTAGTGGCAGGAATATCTTACATTTTTAAGTTTCACAGTCTGAGTTTGCCTGAGAGAACAATAAGGATACCAATATTTACAGGTGATGATACCAACAAATGAAGGTATAAGACTTTTGATGGAATCAAAAGGTCAGTGCTGAGGTCAGAAATAAAGCTCAGACAGAACAGCCACTCTCAGATACTCAAAGGAACTCAATAGTGTTGAGGCAATTAATAGTGAGAAGAGCAATTCAGCATCTGCCTATCGTATCTTTATTTACTCAGGCAATTCAGTTCATTCTAGTCTGGATCTATTTTATGGAAACATTACTTCTGGATTGGCTAAATTAAAGTTAAAAAAAAGACTTCTGAGCTGCTATGCAGAGAGTAAGTATTATGACGTGATACTTTAGAAAGTACAGTACTTGATACATATATCTCAATATAGTCAAACTCTGGTTATTATGCATCCTGGATAACACTATAACCCTAATATGTGTCCATTGTTCAAAACTCCTGAGGCAGTGGCCAGGCACGGTGGCTCACCACCTGTAAACCCAGCACTTTGGGAGGCCGAGGCAGGCGGATCACCTGAGGTCAGGAGTTCAAGAGTAGCATGGCCAACATGGTGAAACCCTGTCTCAACTAAAAATACAAAAAAAAAAAAAAAAATTAGCTGGGCATTAGTGACAGGTGCCTGTAATCCCAGTTGCTTGGGAGGCTGAGGCACAAGGTTCTCTTGAACCCGGGAGGCAGAGGTTGCAGTGAGCCGAGAATGCACCACTGCATTTCAGCCTGGGCAACAGAGCGAGGCTCCATGTCAAAATAAAATTATAATTAAATTTTTTTTTTAGAAAAACTCCCTGAGGCTGGGCACAATGGCTTACATCTGTAATTCCAGCAGTTTGGGAGGCCGAGGCAGGCAGATCACTTGAGGTCAAGAGTTTGAGACCAGCCTGGCCAACATGGGCAAAATCCTGTCTCTACTGAAAATACAAAAATTAGCCAGGTGTGGTGGTGCACACCTGTAATCCCAGCTACTCAGGAGGCTGAGGTGGGAGAATCGCTTGAACCCAGGAGGCAAAGGTTGCAGTGAGCCGAGATCGCATCCCTGCACTCCTGCCTGAGCAACAGGGCAAGACTCTGTCCCAAAAAACAAAACAAAACAAAACAAAAAACCTTCCTGAATATTGAATATATATATATATATATACACACACACACACACACATATATATATACACACATATATATATATATACACACACATATATATATATATATTTGCTTTTACTTGCACTTTGGAAAACATTAATGCAAGTATTTCCCTTTTAAAAATATGATTCAAATGTTCTATATATAATAGTTACAACCCAATAAATACAGTTGAAGTACTCATTATCTTCATTTTTGTAACACGACCTTGATGGCAGTTATTTGCTAAATGCCCAGTTCATAGGTATATTTCTAGCTTGTAGTGTAGTAACAGGTAAATAATAAGCACTGAATAATATCTACTGAATAAATTAATATTTTATAAAACTAAATGAAATATTAACTCAGAAGTTTAAGTGAAACAGACAAAAATACTGGCTAGGCTAACATGTCAGGAATAAATAAAAGATCTACCTTCTTAAAACCCTTTATTGGGAGTCAAGTCCTAATAGCTTTGTTTTTCTAAAGTATGTTCTGAACTGTTGATGGCACTGGTAGGTATTGACCATGACAATGTTGTTAATAAACAACAAAAAGCATATTTTTTCTAGTAAGTGTTATTCCTTTCCTACATAAAGCCATCTAATTTATACTTTAAGCTTTGAAAGCTAAATGAAATACTTATTTAAAAGCACTATGTCAATGCTCCACAGGGCAAAAGATCAACAAATATTAATTTAGCTTGACTTTTTTAGTGCTCTAACAAACCAGAGTTGACCAAATCAGAGGACTCCGAAATGTTTATATTTTAATGCTGGAATTAAAACAGCTTTTAAGAATCACCTTCCAATTCACTGCTAATGACATATCAAGTGTTTAGAACGTACTAAAAATAAAACTGAGTTGTACCCATATCAGTTTCATGATTGCCTATAAAATACAAAGTTTTGGGGGCAATATGTTATAAAAGAGGCGCATACAGTATTTACATTAGCCCACTGATATTCAAAAATTTCATAAACCTAAAATTTTAAATCCTATAATATAAACTGCCCAATGACAAATTTTTCTCCCATGTCTGGAATTTACTGACTAGTAATAAGCCAAAAAATTAGCAGTCAAAATAGAAGATAATAATATACTGAAAAGAAGAACTTACATAACAAACCATTGACCCTTTATCTTGTACTAAAAATCGACATCTTGAAAAAGTAGTTGGTTGCTGAGATATGGCAAAAGCAGCTCTGCTTTTAATAAGAGAAGATCTGTATTCAGAAGTCAAGTTCCCAATAAACATTTAAGCAGTCAGTGCTATTATGCAACTTATAGCAGTTTCCTGTTTGATTTACTTTTAGTCAGCAATCTGACATTCTTAAGGTGGCAATTGCAAGAATCAAAACCAAATGAAACACTGCATCAAAATTCCTATAACCCAACTTGGAAACTACACTGGGATGGGGGTGGAGGGAGTTTATTTCTTTTGGTTTGTTTGTTTGTTTTTATTACAACATTAGTTATCACATTAACTTTTCCTTTGATTAAACTTAGGTAAGAAAGCATAATGTCTACTTTTTGAGTAAAAACAAAAATAAAACAACACGTGGTGTTTACTGTAATAATAATAAAGCTAAGACTCTCAGCACATACTTCATGCCAGGTATCGATTGTTCTAAACATTTTACGAGTATGAATTAATTTCATCCTCACAGCAACCTTGCAAGGTAGATGTCATTACTACTTCCATTTTTGGTGCAATACTGAAGTAGAAAGAGGCTAAGTAACTTGCCCACAGTCACACGGATAATAAAGTGAAGGAACCAGGATGCAAACCTAGGTGGTCCAGAATCCAGCATTAGGCACTGCAGCTGATCCTGCCAGTGTAAATACTCCTTGCATTAGTTCTGAACAAAGCTCTATAGGACCACAAAAACAAAGCTGTTGGGACCCCCAGGATCCTCTGCATTTCTGGTGAAAAATTAAGTCTCCAATTAGCACTAAGCCTTTTGATTGGGTACTTCTCTTTCCATTTTTTAATGGATTAATTTTATATCAACAGAGAAATAACTTCAGAGTACTATCAGGTGCTCGTTTATGTAAATGTCTCACTTCCTTTTCTTTGCTTTGAAATAATTACATTCCAAAATGTATACACTTTTAACTGTAAATAGAAGGACCAAATAAAAAAACACCTAAATATAGTTGAATATACATACACTGGTATTTTAATCATCTTTACATTTCTTAAATGATGAAGCAAGTTATAACCATTCCCTTATGTTTCCATAGAATTTTTTCCTTCTTCTTTTGTATTTTGGAATCTAAGCATGTGTATTATAAAACTCCTTCCCAAGATACATATTCAGGAAAAGTATTCTGTGCCAGCATTACCTCTATCAGAAATTGACAAAGTTAAAAAATGAATATCTAGGAAGGAAACATAACTTGGAGAACTCCCACCCATTTTTGACTGGTATATTGTATATATACTCCCTCTTACCACTCACCAGTTAATTAAGAACCACAGTTTGTGAACACAAATTCAGACTTCATATGGGGAGAAAATGTCCCGTATTACATATATCCCCCAATATAGGGTAGGAAGGCTATTTCCAAGTCCTTTGTATATAGGATCCATCAAATGCTATAATATGAACTTGTCAAAGCTTCAAGATAATCTTTTAACATATCCTTGAACAAGCAGTTATAGTCTTCACCAGATCAACTCTTAAATTAACATCCCACTTCTTATTTTAACATAGAATTGTAATGTCTACTTGCCTGCTTTAAAAGAATTCATTGACTATTGTACAGAATGGAGATGCTCTAATGACCACTCACAGAGACTCAACTTTAAGAAGGATGTAGTCATATTTTACTTCCTGCCAGGGCAACACAGATATACTTTGCACAAAGGCAAACTCTTCTGTCAGGACCAGTCTTGCAAAGGTGGTGTTATACTGAGCAGCAACCTGCCTCCTATCCCCCAACCCTCTGGCACCCAGTTGAAACTCCCAGCATCTGCACTTCAGCCTGAATGACACAGCAAGACTCTATCTCTGAAGTCCAAATAAATGACAAAACACTGTCTAAATCTGTATCTAAATCACAATGAATTCAACATAAGATAGATACCAAAACTTCATTAGTGTGATAGCAACTATTGAACCGAAAGCTGAAAAAGCTTTCTCTTTGTAAGCCTTAAGAAATGCTAAGTAAAACAATTTCATTTCATAGAAATGAAACCATATTTTTTCTACAGGATCCACAGTATAATTTAACTCATAATTGCATCAGGTGCACTAACAGTTTATATAGGTTCTGGCTTTTAACTGCATACATGTCTGTTATCCTATGGAAAATCTTTACTAATTAAGTAAAATTGAGATTAAACTATTCTAGTGGAAATCAATATATAGTATTTGACCTATGAGTCAAAAGAGATAGATTAGTCAGTGGAACAACGTGTAGATGAAAGAAGCAGAAAAACAAAGAGTTTTATTTCCTAAACTCTACACACTGCAGATTTTAAGAAAATAAGTTTAGTATATTGGAATTTAAAACATCTCTGGGTATCTCATATGTTTATTTATATCCTTATGACCTAAGCTGAAAAAAAATCAAGCAAAATATAAAACCTTTTTGGAGTTCAATCTATCCATGTGTAAAATAAGGAAATCATAGACTAGATTAACTCTAAAGTAATAAACAGAGCTAATTCCATACCTAAAAGGACACAAGGCAGAACTAACATTTCCATTAGGCTTTTAAGAATAGGTAAGAAGTATTATTTAAATGGTCTTACACCTAACCATGACTGAGACTTGCCAATTACCAGTCTCAAAAAAGTCACTTTTTAATCTTATAATTGTTGCTAAAATAATTTTCTGAGGATTTTTTCTCCTTGAACATCTCAGTCTAGTGCGATACTTAATATTATATTTTCACTCTAGCTACAAAGAAATCTAAATAGTGGCCCCAAATAGGAAGATGGGCATGTATCTTTTTCACTGGGCTCATGATAAAAGCAACATGTAGAAACTGGAATAAAGCAGAGGACAGTTATTTGCAGTGGTTGTTAGCAGTGATTCTAGATGTTCACCACAAAAAAAGCATGTGAGTCAAGAGATGTCAACACAGATGTGGTCAAACTTCCATAATAAGGAACTAGGTGTTTCCTGTGTCCAGACAAATGGGAGGTCTGAACGGCTTTAGCAGTGTCTCAAAGTGACCAACGTGACAGGAATTTAGGTGAACAGAAATAGACGAATAATCCTCTTCAGTTGAAAGGCAGATTCAATTTTGTGAGTACGTTTCTTTTAGGATGCTCATTTCTGCATCTTCTTGGCATTTGGAATAAACTCCACTTAGGCACATATGTACCCCCTAACTAGCAAATCCACTTCTATTAATTTAAAATTAAAATTAGGCTTTGGTTGAAGGCCACAGCACAGCTCTAAGGAAATTTCAGCATGGAATAGAGTAGAAACAGGATTTCTGTCTGCAATCAACATTTTACATGGTAATTCATGGTCTTTGATTACACCAAGGGTCACATTTTCCCTACTATATAGCCCTCAGAGCACTCAGAAAGATGGCATGCATTCAGGAGACAAACAAAACTGCTTTTTAAACTAAGGATGATGTTCAGTTGGAAGAATCTGTGAATTTTTTTTAAATAAAAATACGTAGACCTCTAATCACCTTGATTCTGAAGCAGTGTCTTGTCTGGTACAACAGGAAAACAAGGAATGGAATTAGCACACACAAATATGTCCAAATCAGGATTCAGGATAAAAGGCATTCCAATAAGTCATCAATAAGTCATGGTAAGGTTACTTCAATAATGAACCACAATGAATAATTATACCTTTTTTTTTCACTGAATACAAGAGAAATATAGAACAAAAACTATACCACAAAGTACTTCATCATCAAAGATTTTATTTTCTCATTGAAAAGTTTTATCAGTGAATAGAAGTAGTATCTATCATTTACTTTTTTTTGACTGTCATTTACTTCTGAGCAATGAATTTCAACATAAATAAATTTTTAAGCACAGGCTTAAAACCTGAGAAGCACTGTAAAAAGTAACAAATATGTCTGTGATAATATTTAATAAGCAGATGTTATAAAAATTACCATAACATTATATAAAATTATAGTTTACTAAACAATGAAATAACATTAAATTTTGAAAAATTAATTCAAAGTGAGGTAAAAGAAAAAATACACACATTCCCTCTCCTCTATCATTTCAGTTATGTGCAAATAAATCTACTAACCAACTATTAAAAAGATCTTGGCTCCTTTTTCTCAGCCTGCTTAAAAATAGTAACCTGTTTTCAGTAATTCAGGATAGTGGTCCTGGAAATGGATGCCTAATCTGAATTTAAAATTTCAAAATAATGTGCTTTTAAAAAAGTAATAGTAGGCTGGGCGCGGTGCTCATGCCTGTAATCCCAGCACTTTGGGAGGCTGAGGCGGGCGGATCACGAGGTCAGGAGATCAAGGTCATCCTGGCTAACACGGTGAAACCCCGTCTCTACTAAAAATACAAAAAAAAAAAAAAAAAAAAAAATTAGCCGGGCATGGTGGCGGGCGCCTGTAGTCCCAGCTACTCAGGAGGCTGAGGCAGGAAAATGGCGTGAACCCGGGAGGCGGAGCTTGCAGTGAGCTGAGATTGAGCCACTGCACTCCAGCCCGGGCGACACAGCAAGACTCCATCTCAAAAAAAAAAAAAAAGTAATGGTATTGTTAGCGTATCTCCTACCCTACCCTATTCCCTACTTGACTATGCATATTTAGAGATTCATTTTATGCAACTAATAAGATATTAAGTATTCAACTGACAAGAAAATTATAACTGATAGTACTATGAACCTTCTCCCCTCACTATTCTGAATAGTTCCAGATATCATAGTAATTATGTGTACATGATATCCTCTCTAAAACAAGTGATAATGAGAATGTAGAGTTCAGAAACCACTGGGTTTCAGAAACCATGCTCTTGAATTGAATATCCTTTTTCTTAGGAAATACACCCTAAAGTATTAAGAGTAAACGGACACGATGCATGCAACTTATTCACAAATGGCTTAGAATGAGGAAATATAGCGGTGCATATATATGTATATATATATGTAAATGGACCAAAAATTATAAAACAAATGTAGCAAAATATAAAAAGTTGATTAACCTGGATAAAGGGTTAACAGGAATCCTCTGTGATATTTCTGCAACTTTAGTATAAATTTGAAATTGTTTCAAAATACAAATTAAAAATTCTCCAATCTTCTAACTTGAACATTTATGTTGAAGTGACTTACTAGTTCAGATAAACCTATTAAGAGAGCATTTTGTCCAACAATTTTACTACCGTGTAGATATTCATCAATAATTCATATGTAGGTACAATTAAAGACATGTATAATAATAGTGAAGACAGGACTCTTTTTGAAGCCAAAAACCTAGAAATAACCCATATGTCTACTCACAAGAGAATGGAAAAATTGAGATATATTAAATGGAATACTAAATAGCAATAAAATGAATGAAATAAAATGCTCATTAAAAGAGGAATTAAATCTCACAAACGAATGTCAGTGAAAGATGTGAGATAAAAGAATATAGGCTGTATCATTCCATTTATACAAAGTTCAAAGCCAAGCACCACTAATCTAAGATATCTGAGGTCAGCATGGGGATGGTGATTAGATGGGGGACATGGGAGAAGTTGCAGGCATGCTGCTAGCATTCCATTTATTGACTGGGGTGAAGAGAAATAGTGGTGTTCACTCTGTGATAATCCATTGAGCTGTGTGCTTTCAATTGGTGTCCTTTCCTGGGAAAACAATTTTTTAAGTACACTTTTGGCCTATTCATTTTCTGCTATCAAACTTTCAAAGTGTAGAAAAGGGTACAAACAAGTACTCTCTGATTTTTAGAATTGCACATAGCCAAGAAAACATTAAAACATACAGAAAACAAGGATTTTTTAATGATCTTAGAAATTTAAAAGTTTGCCATATATTTCAATACACCACTTAAAACAACACAGCTACAAAAAGGTGAAATTTTTCAACCCAAAACTAATGTGTATTTGCCCTTTGACTTCAAAATCCTTCTATTAGAATGAGGTATAGAGGGCTTTGGGAAGCTATTGGCAAAAAGAACACATACAACTAAGCAGGAACTCCTGAAAGCAAATGAATAACCTTATATTAAACAATATGAACAATCTGTATAGACAGAAGCCACCACTTTTGTGCTTTACATCCTAGTTACAGCTAACCTTTGATCTTAATGGGTATTGCTAATTGTCACTTTCAGGCATGGTTCTCTCAGGAAGGAAACTGGGATTCTCCATATACTCACTTTAACAAACATAACAATAAGAAAATGCAAATAGGTTGGTTGAAAGTGTTGTATTCTTATCAGTAGGCCGTATTATAGAGATACGGCAAACTGATATCTTTATGTATATTCTTGGTTCTCTAAATTAGTTTCATATTCTATATATCTTATACTAGTTTTGTGGCTATTTCCTTTGAAATTTCTTCCATAAGGTCGTCCCTGAAAGCACTCTAAAGTAAATTCTTCATATACTTTCTTCACTATAAATCAAATTCACTGTTGGAACATGACTTTGTACTAATTCAGAGGAAAGTTCAGGATCAAAATTATATTAATCCAGTATTAGTTATCTTTTCTTAAAGTGAAAAAAAGGCACACATGGACAAAAGACCCTCAGGAATAATTCAAGGATTAGTCTACTTTAACTAGTGAGTGAGTGCTACCTAGTTATATATTAACTTTTAGCATGTACTATGTCTAAGAGAAATAGGCCAAAAGAATATCTAAGAAGATGTTAATGGCACACAGGCTAGTGGATAACATGTATTCCTCTCCTGACTACAAGAAGTGCCAATTATCAAACAACAAGAAACAACCCAAATATCCATCAGCAAGAGAGTGGATAAAATGTAATGTATGAAATGGAATACTATACAGCAATAAAAGTGAATAAGTCAAGCTATACACAAAAACAGGAATGAATCTCACAAACATCTATGACACCAACAAATTTAGAAAGGTTCCCAAGTAAGCCCATTACTTTCTAGAGGCTGCAGCACCCCACTAAGAATTTGAATGATCAATATTATTGCATGTATAATTTTAATTTTTTTTAAAAAAAGCAATTCTCCAAAAATCACTACGTCTAATTTTGTGTTACTAAAAGAACAAGAATAAGATTTAACAGGCTATACATTTTCCATACTGGGGATAAAAACAAAACAAAATAGAATGTTCACAAGATTCAAGAGGTCGTTCACAAGATTCAAGAGGTCCTTCACAGATCCCTCATGCTATCTAAGAGTTGCTATCCATATGATCTTGTAACCATTATGCGATTTATATTGAGATCCAGAAAAGTCTGTCATTGAAAAATCAAAGAAATGCCTAGGAAATATTCTATATACTTAAAAATAAAGACATTATTGTATCTATCAGTTTAGTACAGTTATGTCAATCAGTGGCTTTTGGATTCCATTAAATATGTCTAGAAAGGCCAAGGAAAAAAAAAGGCACAATCAGGGAAGGTTCACTTAGTATATGTTAGCATCAGTTGTGCTAACAATACAAAGCTTAGACTCTGGAGTTTGAGAAAACGAAACACACAAACAATACAAAAAGCATAATTCAAAAAGATATCATATCATCAAAAAGCTTTGAAACTACTGGTTGAAAAAGTTCTCTTAATAAAATTAATTGGGATTGAAACCAATATATTAGAAACAGATTAGAACAAGCACAACACAGGGATGCATAAATGTCACTCCAAAATTAATCAACCACTTTTTAGTAACATATCAGTATATCACTGCAGAAAATTTTGCTTTGCAAACAGAGGACACTGATCTCACCTGATTTCATTTTCATACTGTGGGGACAGTCTACCTGAATTCTGGTAAAAGCTTTTCAGGAAAGAGGGGGCAGTGAAGGAAGGGGCAGAGAAGGAAGTGTGAAGACTTGGAAGACTGGAGGAAGAATTACTCTCCTTGTACATGCGTCGAACTGACGAAAGATTGCTGAGTACAGAAAATACAGCAAATATGTCTTAATTTATATTTTGACAAAATCTTCATTCACTATGAAAAAGCATATAAACAGGTTCTTGCTATTAATTTAATCTTTCCTTTCAAGGCTCAGGGCTGGATCTTACATGAAAAAAAAAGAAGAAGCATGCAGTTCTCTATTTAGATAACTATGACCTAATTTCATTCCTTTACAATTTGAATTCCTTATCTATACAGTATGTCTAAGCATCTGTGTTTGTCTCTAAAAATTTCTTAACAATTTGAGGACAAAAAGTATTTGTTTTCACATGCAAAAGACACTTCAAGGGAAAAAAGCAGGAAAGCACAAATAATTACAGGAAACAAGTTCCAGAAGGAAGGACTGATTATCACTAGTTCAAAGACTTTGACTATTTTAAAGATATAAACCCTTCTAAATATTTAAGAACAACATGTTTGGTTGTTGGAAGTTATCATAATGCCTTTGGCTTAACAAACATTAATGTCCGTGTTCTTTCCTGAGGACAGTGGAATTGTGCCACTATGGTTTAATCGAAAGCCCAAAATCTAGAAGATTCTTTGCATAGCAAGCTTTCACAATGACACAGAGAGCATCTTTTTATAGTGATAGAAATTGTTTGAACTTATACATTATAAAATGTGGAAAACAGAGGGAAGGATTGAGATATTTATAGTCTAAAATGATTGATGTCTTTAATTATTGAAAATAATTTTTCCTGGAAAAAAAAAGAGTTCTATTGCCTTGAGTAAATATATATGAAGTGATCATTTAAATATCTTGATATACATATGACTACTTAATATCCTTTACACACACAGCAAAAAAATCTGAGAATAATGAACTCTGTTAACTTTATTTTTTGTATCATAAAATATCTCATTTTTAAATTTCGAGTCATTCAGAAAACAACAATGAAAATAAAACTGTATCCTTAGAAGAAATGCAGGCAAATTTTGTAACACACGATATAAAAATTAGCCTTCTCCTTTTACATCGAGTTGTGTTTTTTTTTTTCTCTCCAACGAGCATCTTTACTTAACCCTATTTTCCGTAACAAATTCATAGGTAAAGAAGAGAAACAAAATGAGTTCTAAGATATAAATTTGATCTGTGTTACACAGAAAGAAGAAAATCATTCCAAGTTTATCCTCTTTACTGTTTCTCACCAAATATCAAGCAACTTTTTGTTAAATTATGTTTTAAATACTGTGTAAGATCTTTTCTAAGTGGACACTGCCTGTCAATTATGGTATATATACTCTTCTTTATACATATCACCTTATTCTAGATACAATTTATAACAATTTTCATATTCAGCTTTAATTTATTATGTAACAAAATATAGCCAAATATTATCTCATGTATGAAAGTAACTTAGGTGACTTTTAAAACCCTGGTATTTTATCATAAGCTAACAGGAAGTTCTAATGCTATGTTATTTTCAAATCTGCTGACTTTGTTTCTCTAGAATCATCATCAAGACACTGCGTAACGTGTTATCAGCAGGTTTTCAGACAAAACAACTGCATGGTTATCTTGTTTTTTCTATTTTTCTGAAAGGAAAAACAAAAGAGTTTCCACCCAAACGAATTAACTCTTCTTTTTGTGTATGCCTTAACCTTGCCTGTTTCGCCTAGTAAATGAGGTAACTTAATTTGTTTTTATGGTGTTTCTCAAAACTAAAAGTTGGCTACAGCATAAATTCACAATCCACCTTGACTCCAGAGTAATCAAAACTGTGTGCCTTGAGAATCTAGGTCTCATTCTGGAGAGGGTCAGACTCACCTGCACTGTTCACTGGAGCTCTGCCTCAGCAGAGGGGAACGCACACCCTGAGCCCTCCCATCCTGCAAATTCAGCTTTCTCTTTGTGCTTGAAGGTGGGTGGCTGAACGTGTGTGCCCGTCTTCGAAACTGCGGGGAGTCGGAATCCTCTTCGGGAAACGTTTGCCAAGCTGAGGACGGTGGGGACGCTGGCGGTGTCCCTGGTGGAGAATCCCCTGGTGAGTAGTCCTGAAACACAAGCGGAAGGGAGCCCTTTATTTCCCACGTGGGTCATGGCAGACCTGCCAAAACACAGAGCTCAAAAGTGACAGTGTGCCTCATCTTCCTCCTGAGTCATGACAAAACTGTTTTTCCTCCCCCTTTTACTTAATTTATGCCGTAGGCTAATCAGTATCACTACAACCCATTATCTTCTGATAAGCAGCTGTAATCAGTATCACCACAACCCACTTATCTTTGGATAAGCAGCTGTAAGACAGCATCCGTAAAGACAGGCCAGAAAGTGAGAGGGATGACAAAAAAGTGAAAGCTATTCTCTCCCCTGACACTTTGTGATGAAACGCTAGAGCTACTGTACTTCTCTCACTGTTGCCAGAGAGATGAAAAAAAGATCATGACCAAAAGAGGGTGGAGTCTGTGTTTCCGTATCTCCTGGCTTCCGTGACATATCAATTGCATGCTTCCTGTACTGCCAAAACAGTATTACAATGCCTAAGTGTCCAAGTCTCATGGCAAAGCCTTCCGGAAAATAAAGTCTGTTAAGTATCTTCCCTCACCGTGGATGTTTCTATTCAATTACATGTTCCCTGAGGTAAATTTCTTTTAAAACACATGAAAAACAGGAAATGAATGAAAACCGAGCTATGCTGGAATGCATCTCATATTGCATGGGTAGAAATCATAAATCTCTCAATTTAGACAGGTATGCTGTTAAAACTTTCCAGAACAGGCACCACTGTAGAAATATTTAGCTTGATAAACATGGGTTAGTGATAATAGACTCATAGCTGGACTAAGTCCCCACTTCCATCAACAGAAAGTTTAACAGAAATATTTTAATATATTTCCATTTTAAAAAATAGGCTGCATGTGCCTCAGGTGACATACTGCACTACGCAGGAAACAGGAAACCCAACCTACCGAGAGTTGTCAATGAGATAAAGAAGATCCCAGTGTTGCAGCTAAAATGATTTTTAAAAAATGAGGGGGGAAAATAACACGGGAAGGGAACAAATAAAATCACTGTACAAGTATATAATTACTAATATATGGCTCATTTTTTATAAGGCATTGGATCAATAGTTGCTCAAATACTGTTGTCCAAAGCATACTATCTCCAAACAATAAAAAGCCTAACAGAGCACAGTTAGCCTGTAAGGGAATAAGAAGCTACATGCTAATGCCTAGAATCTTCTTAGTTAAAATAATAAAGTCTCAAATATTTATTTTTTAAAAAGCTATAAAGCATTCATAATAAAAAATGGAGCATGCATATTACCATATCGGTGCTGACTTTGTTAAGTTGCAATTAGTGTAAACAAGCTCTAGTTAGATACCTTCTCTGAAGCAAGACTGTTGGACCGTTCAAAACTGTCCACACTTCCAAGCCGACCTCTCATTCTGTTAGCTCCCTGAGTGAAAAGAATAAAATTAAGTGCTTCGTGTGATTTAAAATTTTACTTCAAAACTATAAAAGGTAGTTCCAGGTGGTCTCTTAATGTTAGCATTAAATTGATCATTTTGTGGTTCACTTAAATTTGTTGGCTTTATTAATAGTCATTACAGCACAGTAAAAATAACTATTTCTGATCTATTTCCATTATTTTTAAATCAGCCGTTAGATAACTAGATACTCAGACCAAGCTTTTTGAAGTTAGTTTGGTTACAAGATTACACGTTATTCATCCATAAGTTCAGTGAGGGCCCCAATTAACTCTGTCTCAGATTCAAATATGGAAGATACAGCAAAACAAACCAGAAAAGCTATGCAGAAAATGACTTAATACATACAACCTAGATCAAAACATCATAATTCATTTATAGGATTATAATAAACATCAGTTAAAAACCACATGGAAAAGAAAACCACATTCTAAAATTTATCGGTTTTGCATCATTCATTATTCCATAATGCCAAACTATTTCAAGAAATCATTTAATTCTGGAAGACTAGATATCAGTCTGCTTCAATACTGGTGAATTGGTTATCAATTTTTTTTCACATAGTCCTTTGGTGTGGATTTTATAAATGATCTCAGAAAGAGATCTAAGAGATCACCTAAGATCTAAGAGACCTAAGAACCTAAGAGATTATTCTTTCTGTTCCCCCCTCACTTTAAATAGGAAGAAACTGAGGCCAACTATAGAAGGAAAGAGGATACAAGTCAGGTTGGGAACCTCATCATCTACAAGGTCTTAAAAGACAAAACACAGACTGAGGAGTTCCACACAACTCTAGAGCATGTGGCGAAGTTCTAAAAAAGAATGAGTGGAAACACCAGTCAGATCCATGTGACAGTGACCCTGCGAAATTTTTTAACAATGCATAACATTTGCATAGTACTTTCCAGGCTTCGACTCTGTCTGCAAACATTCTTAGGTTTATTTGGGGGTCGGGGGTAAGGGGTTGCATTTCATTTTAATTTTTAATCAAAGTAATATCAGCACAAAGTTTCAAAAGTGAAACTGTGCTATCAAGTTTATAATGAAAAGTGGTGGTCATCAACCCCCTCTCTTGCACTCTGAATCCCACTCCCCAAAAGCGAACCTTGAAATTATTTATATTGATATTTCTGGTATTCAGCTTATCCTACCGTTCCTTAAGCTTTCCATTTTAGGAAGTATCTATTGACTTCCTAACTCTGGAAGATGAAATTTAATATTCTTACCTCATTATATACCCAGTTCCACCTCCCCCCAACCCCCACACACACCTTTCTTCCCCTCTTCCTTCAATATAGTTACATCACGAATTTTGGTTAAATCAGTACTTTGTGCTTAGATTATTAGGACTGTAAGTATTGTTTGCAGCTGAGCGACATATTTTACTATGATTATGTCTGCTTACACCTCATATCTTATATATTTTGTTTTTCATGGAGTTAGTGACTACTTCAGCAAACACGAATATATTACAAAACTCTCCTACAGTTCACAATATGGTCAAACATCACCACACCAACCATCAATTACCCTCCCCTCCCCTTCCCTCCCCTCACGTCTCCTCTCCTCTCTCTCTTTCTCTCTCTCTCTCTCCCCCGCTTGTTTTTTTAAGCTACCATTATGGAGACCTCTGTGTTTCTGCCCCAATCTGGACATGTTACAATATAGGCTTGCTCTACAAAGCTTCCCAGGATTTTCCTTCACTATCAACCTAGAAATTTCCTTTGACTCTCTCCTCTGTTGGAATTTCTGCTTCCTTGGTCCCATGTCTTCTCCTTTTTTAGTTTAATTCCTCATTTGGGTGAGGCACATTCTCCGGGTGCTTTCTGAGAAAGGGAGAGTGGGAACTAAATTTTTTAAAAAATGTACATGTCCATAAATGTCATTATTCTATGCTTGTATTTCACTAATAGTTCGGCTGGATATCGTATATTGTAGTAGTTAGAAATTTTGCTTCCAAATATCTTAGCATTGCTCAAATGTCCTTTGTTTCAGAAGTCTAAAGCCATTGTGATTCTAGAGCCTGTGTGTCTGACCTGCTGTTTCTCTTTGGAACAGAATCTAAGTTTGCCCTTTGGCATTGTGAAATTTCACAACGACGTGCCTTAGCATGACTTTTACACAGTCACTCTGTTGTGCACTTTCTGAGTTCACTAAATCTGGAAACTCACGCTCTTTAGCTCTGAGAAATTTTTAAAATTATTTCTTTAAAAATTTCCTTGCAGGCATTTTTTCTTACTGGAACTCCTACTGTTTGGTTCTGGACTAATCCTTTAACTTTTTACCTTGTTCTCCTATTTTCCATTTCTTTGAAGTTTGCTCCATTTTCTGAAAGGCCTTTTTTCAACTCTAGTTTCCTAGCCTTCTCTTGAATTTTTCTTTTTACATCTACTATCAGAAAGTTTAAACAGTTCTTTCTTCTTTTCAGATGACTGTGTTTTATTTATGACATCCTATCTTGTTTCGTAAAGCAATATTTATTCTTATCTGCATATATTATAGCTTTATCTCCAATGGCTTACTATAGGATAACTAAAACAATAATAAAATTAATAGCTGCACCTAATATTATTGAACGCTTATCATGTGCCATATACTACGTTAAGGATTTTACACTGCATTAGCTCACTTAATCCTCATACCAGTTGTGAGGTAAGTATGGTTATTTAGCCCGTCTTCACAGATATAGAGACTGAAGTTCTGATAGATTACATTGCCCAAGTTTACACAGCTAGTTAAAAGAAAGGGCAGCAATTTTGACACAGGAAGCACAATTGTAAAGTGAAGCTCCTGAGCTGTTACTACTACATCCCTAAACTAAAGCTCTGTGAAAAAGAGAATTACAAATAAAGCTAATTAGCCTACACAGGTTACATGGAATTTTGTAAATGTCCTAGAACCTCATCAAATTCTTTTCAGTTCTTCAGTTCTATGTTATAATTGGCATCCTTCCAATAACAAAAACTCTATTTGTGGCTAATAAATTATTGGGTTAGTGTGTGTAGCCAAGAGGAAAATATAGTAAAGATGAGATTGCTGTTATTTTTAGCGCTACTTACACGCCCACCTGCCTGGTTATCTCAGACAGGTTATTTGGTCTTAACAGACAAAGTAGTCAGATGGGTATCAAACCATTCCTATTACTAGAAAAACAACTGAAATCACCTATTTTACTCATAGTGGTGTTTTACCCACACAAGCTTTTTTTGTGCACAAAGAAAAACAAAGTTACTTTAAAATTATACTCTACCACTTCACACATTTCAACAAGTAAAGACAATGGATATTACTCTGAAGAAAGTAGAAAATGAGTACTATTTTTAAAATAACTTGCACTTTATATTAGTAAATATTGGCTTGGCATGGTGGCTCATGCCTGTAATCCTAGCACTTTAGGAAGCTGAGGTGGGAGGATTGCTTGACCCCAGGAGTTCGAGACCAGCCTGGGCAACATGATAAGACCCTGTCTGTACAAAAAAAAATAAAAATAAAATTAGCCAGGCTTGGTGGAATGTGACCATGGTCCTAGCTACTTGGGAGGCTAAGGCGGGAAGACTGTTTGAGCCCAGGAGTTCGAGGCTGCAGTGAGCTATGATCACACCACTGCAGTCCAGCCTGGGTGACAGAGCAAGACCCTATCTCAAAAAAATAAAATAAAATTTATATTAGTAAATATTTCTGTTTTGGAAAACAACTGAAAAAATAAAAGCAACAGATAGCCATTACATGATTCTGATTTTCACCTTTGAACAGACAGCTTTTTCTGTTTTACTACATTGTGATTTGCTAATTCATGTGTCAGGCCCTTTCCCTTGGACTCGCTTTTTAGTGGTTAATGAGCTGAGTTTCTTTGCATTTAAAAAATGGATCCTATTTCATAAACAACTATAGTTAGCTAAATAAAATATTTTGATGTTTAAAAATGGCAGCAATTATGAGCTAAACTCCAAAACTGGAGTGTGAATTTTCTACTATACAACTCAGCAGGAAAAAAAAAAAAAAAGACAAGTTTTAGAAGTATACAAAACCCCTTTTGCTATGTAACCTTTAATACAACATGGGGAGCTGCCAACCTGCCCAAAAAGTGCAATCTGTTGCACACGGTACAAGCAAGACCTTGTTAGGTCGCAAAATTTATGTCATTTGGCATCACTCTGGGAAACAAAAGCTACAGTATCCACCTTGATCAAAACAGATTGGCTGTGCCCTTGCTGAAAATGTCATTACAGCAATTGAAGGCATGCAAAAAAGACTTCAAAGTTGGCACTGCAAGTATTATGCAGGATGCCAAGGTACTAAATGGAGATAAAGGAACACCCTAAATACCCTTTGCCATTTTGTAAATGACAGAGGTTTTGAGCTTACTACTGAATATACCACCTCCTATCTATGATGTGATATTTCCCTAACACACTAACATTTAATCCTCACAATTACATGAGGCAAGTGGGTGTTAATATATCCATTTCACAAATGGGAAAACTATGGCTTAGAAAAGGCAAATAATTCATCCAAGATCATAAATATAAAATCGGCTAGGGCCAGGGATTACATTCAGGTACCCTGACACCTACTTAAATGGTCTTTTCTGCTAAAATTTTCACTAAACACTGTGTTCAATTCAGGTAGCTGATGCTGTTTCTGATGCTGGTGCTTTAAGAATTACACGTGCCTTAAGTAAGTGTAATTGCATCAGCCTCACCTGGAAGGCTTGTTGAAACCCAAATTACTGGACCCCACCCCGAGAGTTTCTGATTAAGTAGGTCTGGGGTGAGGACCAGGATTTTACTAATTTATAAATTTTGAAGGAAAAAGGCATATTTTATGAAATTTGCATTGGCATACTTCTGACAAATCTCCTAGATACTCTTTTCTGAGATTCAGTTTTCCACTGATAAAATAATGGCATTCACAATTGATCATGCTTGCTGCAGGGCTTCTGTTAAAGTTAGAAGGATCTCTATCATTAAGAGAAATAACTAGAAAAGTATTTTGAGCCATAACAAAGAAACAAAACTAGGAACACGGGATATCAGAAGTTACTGTGTCCTAATGCTCTATTGCACAAGCATGGAAAAAATCAAAATGTATCCAACTATTTAACTAAACATATTCTTATAATGCTACTAAGGTTAAACAGGTGGAAATAATGTTTTTAAAAACAATACACATTTGCAAATAGAGTTCAATGGTTAATTCAAAGTTCCTCTCAAAGTCTAAGAATTTTTACCACTCATTTGCCTCTTTAAAGGCACTGAGAGATCACTAAGGAAGACACTTATACACTGAAGGTGAAATTTTTCTTTGTGTATTAACATAAAGGCCAAGAGACTTTAAAAAGTCATCAAGGGTACCTTTTGAAACTTTGTTCACAGGAGTTAAAACACCTACCACCCAACCAGTCTTACTACTTGGTTTTCACAGGCAGTGTGCTGGGTACAGAAAAGAGCCCTTATTGATGACTGTACAATGGCAGTACTTGTGATCCATTAATAACCTGAGCTATTCATTAACACATGAAAACAGCAAGCAGAAAAAATAAATTTAAAAAAACACCCTGGGTGGGCTTTGTGAGGCATGTGTGATAAGCAGGTTTAAAACGATCACTTTGTTTCTCTTTTTTCATTTTGAAGCCATCTCAAATGCAGAGGCAAGTTATAAGTACAGTACAAAAATTTTTTTTCCCCACAACGATTTTCAAGTAAGTTACCAATATAAAGCTCCACCACCCTGAAATACTTTACTGTGTATTTTCTATAAAAAAGGACATTCTCCAATATAACTAAAATACAACTTTCAAAACCAGGATACTGACATTGATACAGTAATACTATTGAATCTTCAGACTTCACTCCAATTGCATTGGTTGTCCCAATAATGGCTTTTAGGGCAAAAGGATCCAATTCACAATCTCCCATTCCACTTGTTTTTGTGTTTCTTTAGGGTCCTTCAGTCTGGAGTTATTCCTCAACCTGTTCTTGACTTTCTTGAAGATAACAGGCTTGTTATTTTGTAGACTCCACCTCAATTTGGGTTTGTTGACATTTCCCCTTGATTAGATTCAAGCACTGCCTATTTGACAGGAATACCACAGAAGCAGTTCTGTTTCTTCATATCAGGTGGCACAGGGCTGCAATTTGTCCCACTGCTGATGATGTTCAATTTGATCACTTGGTGGTGCCTGCCAGCCTTCTCCATTGTAAAGTTATTTTCCCATTAGTAATTAATAAATATTAATTACATACAGCAAATATCTTATTTATGATAAAACTTTCAATATATTCATTTATTTTTTGTATCAGAAAATAGTTGCCTATTTTATGCAACAGGTTAGATTATCTGTTGCTATCATTTATGTCAACGCTCATATTGTCCCAGTGGGAGCCCTTTCAAGGTTTTTATGTCTTTATGACACGTCACCATTTTTCTTTGAATATTTTCCTACTATCTAAAACACCAAGATGTTCTGGGATCATACTTTTCCTGCAGTACTGAAATTAGCCATGTTTCTCAGAATCTTGGTTCTGTCTAGTAGGAACATATACATATATACTTATGTTTACATTTACATTTTTTATATTTACATATATATTTCTATATGATTGTATATATAATATGTCTATATTTACATGTATATAAAATTCATGATTTTATATTGATACCTCCAAGTTTTATTTTTGTAATTTTTTTATTTCCATAGGTTATTGGGGAACAGGTGGTTTTTTGTTTGTTTGTTTGTTTGTTTAGACAGGGTCTCACTCTGTCTCCCAGGCTGGAGTACAGTGGCATGATCTCAGCTCACTGCAACCCCTGCCTGCTGGGTTCCAGTGATTCTCGTGCCTCAGCCTCCTGAGTAGCTGGGATTACAGGCACGCAACACCACACCCGGCTCATTTTTTTGTATTTTTAGTAGAGACGGGGTTTTACCATGTCGGCCAGGCAGGAACAGGTGTTATCTGGTTACATGAGTAAGTTCTTTAGTGTGATACCTCCAAGTTGAATCCAACACAGGGTTCATTCTAATTTCTACCCTTTTCATATTAGTAATTTCTTCCTCCCTGGACCCCACTATCCTTAAGACATTTACTTACTTCTTCAGTCCCTGTGTATATATAACCCATCTCCACAATGGCCACTGCACAGACACTGTCCTCATCCCACCCAGGCTGTGCCACTCCCTGCTGGGGCTGCCACCCCAACACGTGCACATCCTCAGCCTGCTTAGGCACCCATCCCTGTGAATGCTCGCTCCCCTCCACTGTGGCTCTGACACCCGCACTGGGCCTTCCCTCTGCCAGTATGCTGCCTCCTACAACCTCCCAAACCAGGTTCCCCTTCTCTGCAGATTCCCTCCTTACTGCAAGAGGCTCCCACACCCTGCATCGGGCCATCCCCACATTCCACACCCCATATGGACAGTCTCCCTGCTCTGAGCCACAGTGGGTCCCCCATGCCACAGCCCAGAACACCCACGTAGCTTGACCTCACCTAATAGCTCTAAGGCAGAATTGTTCAGGAAGAGGAAAATGAAGTTGAAGGGGAACCATTTTGCTTATTTTAAAATGGAATATATATACTTACTAAATGGAATACATAAATTTCCATTAATTTATACTTTTTTCAGCACTTCCTCTAAGTTCCTAAGAATCGGTGATATGGTTTGGATCCGCCCAAATCTCATGTCAGATTGTAATTCCCAATGTTGGAGGTCGGCCTGGTGGGAGGTGACCGGATCACAGGGATGGATTTCTTAGGAATGGTTTAGCACCATCCACTTGGTGCTGTTCTCATGATACTGAGTTCTCATGAGATCTGGTTGTTTAAAAGTATGCAGCACCTCCTCATTCTCTCTCTCTTGTTCCTGATCCCACCATGTGAGATGTCTCACTCCCCCTTTGCCTTCCACCATGATTGGAAGCTTCCTGAGGTCTCTCCAGAAGCAGAAGCCACTATGCTTCCTGTATAACCTGCAGAACCGTGAGTCAATGAAACCTCTTTTCTTTACAAGTTACCCAGTTTCAGGTATTTCTTTATAGCAATGCGAAAATGAACTAATACAATGGGCAAAAGAAGAATTTCTTTATAACTTTCTATGGGAAATGATTTTTAAAGTTCTTATAGTATTGAGCATCAGTATTCTATTTCCCCTTTTCTATACATATATATTTCTACTACTAAATATCTATTGCTCGAATTCAAATAAAGGCCCCAGAATAAATCTCGATCTGAGAAGCAAACTTATTTTGAAAGATCATTTTGGGCCAGGTGCGGTGGCTCACACCTGTAATCCCAGCACTTTGGGAGGCCGACGTGGGTGGATCACAAGGTCAAGAGATCGAGACCATCCTGGCTAACATGGTGAAACCCTGTCTCTACCAAAAATACAAAAATTAGCCAGGCGTGGTGGCGCGCACCTGTAGTCCCAGCTACTCAGGAGGCTGAGGCAGAAGAATCGCTTGAACCCAGGAGACAGAGATTGCAGTAAGCTGAGATCGCACCACTGCACTCCAGCATGGTGACAGAGCAAGACTTCGTCTCAAGGAAAAAAAAAAAAGATCATTTTGAGCTGGGCATGGATGGTGGCTCACACCTGTAATGCCAGCACTTTGGGAGGCCAAGGCAGGTGAATCACTTGAGGTCAGGAGTTTGAGAACAGCCTGACCAACATGGTAAAAACCTGTCTCTACTAAAAATACAAAAATTAGCCGGACATGGTGATGTACACCTGTAATCTCTGCCTTACTCAAGAGTCTGAGGCGGGAGATCTCCACTACTCGAGAGGCTGAGGCAGGAGAATCGCTTGAATGCAGGAGGCAGAGGTTGCAGTGAGCTGAGATCTCACCACTGCACTCCAATCTGGGTGACAAGAGTGAAATCCATCTCAAAAAAACAAAAAAACAAAAGAAAAAAAGATCCTTTTGTTAAATAATTTTTAAAAGTTATCTTAGGTTTTTTTTTTGTTTGTTTTTTGTTTTAAGGAAATCAGTGAGCCTGTTGAGACTGAAGCTAAACTGTTAGAAAACACAGATATGCATACTTGAAAGACCATTGGTGCAATCTTACCCTTGAGAAGATATTTTCCAGGGAGCTAGTTAAGGATCTCTTAGCTTTATTTTTCAGAATGTCAAGTTTGAACCTTCCACTGCTTGTTGCATTTTCTGGGATTGTACTATTTGAAATAGTCTAAAAAAAGAAAAACAGATACATTTTAGTTTGGAAATACTCAAGGTTAAATGAAACTTTAATTATAGGCTTAAGACTAAGCTATTAAAAAACACAAGAATTCTTCAGTAGCTCTATTAATAAGTAATAATTTAGGTCCCACACTGTGAACATAATGCTTATAAGGAAAGGGGTTTAATTTTTCATATTGTATGTAATAAAAAGACAGATGTAAAATATTTCCTTCATGCCTTTCCTTTCCATGAATACACTCCTACTGCATTTAGCAAAAATTATACTTGATATGTCAATTTTTACTACTGCTACTCTGATTAACATCTATAACCATCCCTTTCCAAGATGTATACTTTATATCCAAATTACCAAGAAAAACACAGAACACAAGTTCCAAAGAACAAAGCATTTTCCAAACAAAACTGGATTCTGGTAATGCCTCTGTTATAATTCCATTTTCATTCGTGAGTGGGTCATTTATGTCTTAGATCACAAGTATAGAACCAAACTGGGTGAGAATCTATGATGTGTCCACTATATTAGGTTCTCTATGTATTTTATCCATTGAAGTAAGCAGCTACTATGTATATCACATGGTCCTTAGTAGCAAAAAACTTTCAAGCGAGAAACCTTATGATTTGCTTGGGGAGGGAATAGCAACACAAAGCACGTGTAAGTATCAAATACCAAAGCAGGAAGATTGGCTGTGGGTCTAAACAGGAAGAAAAGAATACACAGGATTCAGACAGGCGGGAAGAAAGGGATGAAGACTTCCCCAGAACTGGGGATGCTTGTTGGCAAAATCCTAAAGGGTGGATTGCTTAAGGGAGAGAAAGTCAGGGCATGTATTTAGTTAAAATATTGCTTGCCATTACTTTTAATGGCAAAAACTGCAATTACTTCTGCACCTGCCTAATAGAAGGGAGCAGTAGAAGGTAACACGAGAAACTCAGGCTGGAAAATAAAACCTTGAATGTTCTTAAGTGCCAGGTAAATAGGAAGAATTAGCAATCCAAATTTATAAGCTGAGGGAAATCCCTGTGAATGTAATGTTTTAGGGAGAGTTATCAAAAAGAAGTGTTCAAAAACACATCTAAAAGACAGGAAAATCAGACTGAAACATCAAACTGAACTCGAGGCTTCAGCACAGTCTATGTAGGAGGCAATAAGGGCCCACACTAGCACCAGCTCCATCAAATCAGTTAAGAAGTTACAGATGCAAGAAAGGCCCCACCAAGAAAGGAAAGGAGAGGAAAAAAAAAACAATGGGTATACATGTGGGCTGGACAGGGCTCAGGGTGTGTATAAAGCACTGGGATCATTCATTATTCTAAGGCTTCCAGATAAACAAATGTGACAAAAATACAAAAACTGTATGGGCACTTAGCAAATATCTGACACATAGTAACTGCTCAGTAAATACCAGTTGAATAAATGGAAGGAAATGAAGGAAAGGAGAGCGTGATGGAGGCAGAAGCTTAGCTACGAGCAAGAAAACATGAAAATATTGTTAAAATCTCCTCCTGTATGATCATTTCTTTGTGATTTCTCCATCACAAAGAAATGCACATCTCGTGAACATCCTCCTTTAACTTCAGGTCCACAACAAAGCTCATGTCTTCCATATTTATACTCAAATTCCTCTATAGGCACCAAATGTATCAACCTCCTTACTCATCACCTCAAATTCCTCTATGGGCACCAAATCCATTTTTCTAATTGAATCTCAAACACATTTCCAAATTGAATTCTTATTTTTTATTCTCATCCCCTGCCCCACTCTCGTCTGCTTTCTTTATTTCCCGGCTCTGTTTCATCAAATTTCCCCACACGGGAAACCCTGACGTTGTTCACAGCAACTCCCTCTCCCTTCCTTTACAGATTCTTCCAGCCAGTCACTAAGTCCTAATGATTATGCCGCCTAAATAGCTCTTCACTCAGTTCCTTCCCCACTTCTCTAGGGCTCTAGCTTGGCCTCTCTGAGTCAAATAAATGCTTCAAGACGAATTATTCAAGCTATTTATGTACCAATGCTACCTCTAACTTGTGCATACATCATTATACCAATCACATCATATTTTAATGTATTTGGTTTCACATTGGTTTCTCCTCCTAAACAGTTAGATGGCAGGGAAGGGTCGCCATTATTCATCACTGTTTCCTAGTACAGTCTGTACTCGATAAAGATTTGTGCAATAATTAAATCACTTATCACATATTCTATTAAAACATTCTCCCAACTGGAGAATATGACTTAGTCCTAACCCCCTCAACCAAGCAACCTCCCCCATAAATAAATCTACCATCAGAAGAACAGCAGAATTTTCTCTTTGTGGTGCAAATCTGATCTTCTCACTCCCTTACTTGAAATCCTTCCATGACAAAGTCAGGCCTGCCAGTAACTTAAGGCCCTTCCTCATCTCATTCTGCCTATCATCCCAGCCTTGTTTCCCCCACCAATCCCCAAGCACAACCTCAAAACCAGCACCTAATTCCAGTGCCTGCATGGAGTAAGTTTGGGCACACTACTACATAACTTTGTGCTCAATGTTCTTTTTTTTTTTTGAGACGGAGTCTCCTGTCGCCTGGGGAGTGCAATGGCATGATCTTGGCTCACTGCAACCTCCACCTCCCAGGTTCACGTGCTTCTCCTGCCTCAGCTTCCTGAGTAGCTGGGATTACAGGCACACACCACCACACCGGCTAATTGTTTTTGTATTTTTAGTAGAGACGGGGTTTCACTATGTTGGCCAGACTCTAAACTCCTGACCTCGTGATTCACCAGCCTCAGCCTCCCAAAGTGCTGGGATCACAGGCGTGAGCCACCACACCCGGCCCAAAAAGTACAGTTCCTCAACTGTTCTGACAGCAAAGTTTATCTCTCCTAAAATTCCAACTCCCTCAAAATGTCCTTCCTCTTGAATCTCCTCTTCTCTTACTCTCTACTCCAGCTCCAAAGCAAAGACACAGCTACTTTTGTGCTCACTACAGATTCTTTTTTAAAGCCACTTATTGACTTTATTCTATGTATCTATTGATCTGTTTGCATTCCCCTTTCAAATATTTGAGCTATTCTCTGGAGAGGACATGATTCATTCATCAGGTTTTTTTGTCACCTTTTTCCATCACATAGTTTAACTCATAGAAGGTTCTCAAGAAATGCTTGTTCTGTGACTAAATGAAGGACTGTGTACTAACAATATGTGATTTGTTCTGAATATAGTGAAATAAAGATATAACCTGAATTAGTGTTATCAAGAGTAAATATTTCACAATCCCCTTTGATGTTACGGCTGGTGGTCCTGCTTCTTCTATATGCAGCAGAGGATAAATTCTAGACCACATGCACAAAAATACCATCCCTCAGTTTGCAGCTAGGGTACCATTTACATGATATTACTGCTGTTTCACCATTTGGGCTATCTCCAGTTTCGATGAAATAAAATGTTCATATGAATTGGAAATAAAATAATAGATTAATATAACTAAAAATAATGTATGTTCATTCTAAATCACGAACATGTACTATTAATGCTTTTTTTTAACCAAAACCCACAAATTCTTTTACATTTTAAGACCATCATTAGTTTAGCTCAATGTGTCAGTGCCTGCTCAAATTCCCTATAAAATGGCCGGGTGCAGTGGCTCATGCCTGTAATCCCAGCACTTTGGGAGGCCGAGGCGGGGGGATCACCTGAAGTTGGGAGTTCGTGACCAGCCTGACCAACATGGAGAAACCCCGTCTCTACTAAAAATACAAAATTAGCCGGGTGTGGTGGTGCATGCCTGTAGTCCCAGCTACCCGGGAAGCTGAGGCAGAAGAATCGCTTGAACCCGGGAGGCGGAGGTTGCAGTGAGCCAAGATCGTGCCATTGCACTCCAGCCTGGGCAACAAGTGTGAAACTCCGTCTTAAAAACAAAAAACAAAAAAACCTATAAAACTATTAAAATGCTGGGCGGGGGAGTGAGGGGGTAGTTCAGGAAACTCTGATAGGACTTTAGCCCTAAAGAACCTGAGAGTACAAAGGGAAGAATTAACAAAATTATTAAACAACAACAAAAGTAGGTGAAGTAGGAAATATCTTCTCACAGAAGGGCCTTCCCCGATGTGCACGTGTGTCTTCTGCTTGGCTTCACACAGCTGCCTCAGGTGTAAAATCACAAGTTCATTTTCTTCCTGGTCACTGACTGGCTTCATTTTCTGTTCAACAGACAAACCAAAAGAACACTATGGCAACACCACTTCCCTCCTTTTATTCTGTCGGGCAGACAAACGTAAATAAAGCTAAGAGTTTTAACTTCGCTCAGAAGCAAAAGTAAAATGGCATTCTATTCTATCCAGTAGTACTCTAGGTCATGCATCTTTAGCTCTAGGCAGCAGAATGAAAACAGGAACGCATAAAAACAGGATCCAATTCTCATTCCTTATGTCTTATTTATGAGACCTACAAATAATGTTACCTGAACTCTTTCAAAGATGTCAGCTTGCTCATTATCTGTCAGTGATGAGAGATGCCTCTGTATCACCAGCTTGGCTCTTGGTGGGTAGAGACCTAAGGAAAATGATGAGGGAAGGTATTAAACAGAGTCTAGCAGCAGAGATCCAGGGGCAGAGAATGCATTACACTTCACCTCTTCCCAAGCAGGCTCTGAACTTAAATCTTCTCAAGGAGACGTGTTCCTGCCTACAAGAAACCTTGGAATACTACATTGAAATGATTAAAACTAGATGAAAAACCTCTCCACCAAAATCAACAGCCCCCAGTAGTGATCTTGGCATTACAATTACTAACAACGGGCCGGGCACAGTGGCTCGCGCCTGTAATCCCAACACTTTGGGAGGTGGAGAGGAGTTTTCAGAAACTTTTCCTCTAGTTCTCATTCAGTACTGCACAGTGGTTTAAAACAGGCCTGGTGACAGTGTGGCCACAGTATGGCAGGACTGTGTGCGTTCTGACAAGCATGAAGCAAATTCTAGTTCTTTTACACCCTGTCTCTACTAAAAATACAAAAATTAGCCAGCCATGGTGGCGGGGGCCTGTAATCCCAGCTACTCAGGAGGCGAGGCAGGAGACTCACTTGAACATGGGAGGCAGAGGTTGCAGTGAGCCAAGATCGAGCCACTGCACTCCAGCCTGGGCGACAAAGTGAGACTCCATCTCAAAACAACAACAACAAAAATTACTAACAATGAATTTCTAAGCGATACTGAGCACAACCAGATACCACTTTACACTAACAAACAGCCACAGTAGAAACTCACAGATGATTTAACATTAACCTAAGACCTCACATGGAAATAAAAGCTAAAGACTAGCCTTGGCCAAAAATTTTAAGTTTACAACTTGACATTTAAAGAAGAAAGAACAAGTAATAATATTAAAAGGCAAGACTACGGCTTTGACAGAGATCTCTTCCCCGATGCAGCTCTTGTTCTGTGAGAATAAAGTTTTAAGGATAGCATTAGTATTTAGTGAACTTTCAATGTTATTATTTTATCAAGAAATCATTTACTTCTTTATATCATGATATTCACAAACCTATCCCATTCTTACACATAATTTATATTAAGTCCTTGGGAAAATCTTTTTTCATGAGAAGGTTGTTTTTAAATTTTTTTTTAAAAAAGAAAGTTTAATTCATATTTGCAGTAATTCAACAGACCATTCATTTTTAAAGAACAGATTTCTCTTTCTTCAAAAGAAGATTCAAAGAAAAAGAGCAGATTTTCATTACAGTTAGGTTCCACTTAGAGTATTGCTACTATATTTTGATTATGAAGAGAATATATATATATATTCTGGATATATATAATATTTAATAAACCTTATAGGTAGGCTGGCATTTTAAAATCATTTGTTATTATAAGGCTGCCTTTGCTATCATTCTCAGGTTATAACTAAATATATTACATGATGTTATGACATAATTTGAATGTTTTCCATGTATTCTTTGTATTTATTTACAAAGAATAAGACAAAGTAATTGGCCGAAAATACTTATAATTTGTTCCGCTAAGTTGCATCACAGAATTTTAAAATAATGTATTAGTCTATAAGTACATTGTGCACTTTTCTCATTGTATTCATTTCTAAGAAAATATGAGGTGCCAGGCAACTGAAGTAAACTGATTTAATAGATTTGAGCTACTTTTTAAAATTAAATAACTATCAAGATCTCTACAGATAGTATACAGGAGGATCACCTGAAAATACACATTGTTTTAAAAGATCTAGAATTCACTTCACACTTGCCAGAAAGCACACAGTACTGCCATACTGCAGCCACACGGCCACCAGGCCTGCTTTAAACCACTGTGCAGTACTGAATGAGAACTAGAGGAAAAGTTTCCAAAAACTCCACTCCACATTTCTTTGTGCAATGTACAGCAAAATTCGGTGCAAGTCTTGGTGATCACAGACAGAAAACTAAATTCATTTTGATGGTATGACACCACTCACTATCACAGTTTATTTTATTTTATTTTATTTTATTTATTTGAGATGGAGTTTCGCTCTCGTTGCCCGGGCTGGAGTGCAATGGCGCGATCTCGACTCACCGCAACTTCCTCCTCCAGGTTCAAGCAATTCTCCTGCCTCAGCCTTCCGAGTAGCTAGGATTACAGGCATGCGCCACCACACCCAGCTACTTTTGTATTTTTAGTAAAGACGGTGTTTCTCCACGTTGGTCAGGCTGGGCTCCAACTCCTGACCTCAGGTGATCTGCCCACCTCGGCCTCCCAAAGTGCTGGGATTACATGAGCCACCGTGCCCTGTTTTGTGTTTATTTTTATTTTATTTTACTTTATTTTATTTTATTTTTTGAGGCAGAGTTTCACTCTCGTCACCTAGGCTGGAATGCAATGGCGTGATCTCAGCTCACTGCAACCTCTGCCTCCTGGGTTCAAGTGATTCTCATGCCTCAACCTCCCAAGTAGCTGGGATTACAGGTGCCCACCACCATGCCCAGCTAATTTTTGTATTTTTAGTAGAGACGGAGTTTCACCATTTTGGAGAGGCTGGGCCTGAACTCCTGACCTCCTGACCTCAGGTGATCCACCTGCCTCGGCCTCCCAAAGTGCTGGGATTACAGGCGTTAGCCACCGTGCCCGGCCACTATCACAATTTATTATTTGCTGGGAAAGTCTCCTTCAGAGGCTTAGACAACATATTATGATAATGATTCACATGATTGTTTTTGTTTTGTTTCCTGTTGTTTATTACTCAAGTGACTAACATGGAAGATAAAAGATTGAAAAGAGGAAAAGAAAAATAAAGAAGGTAGTTATTTGAAGTATGTAACTAAATTCATAAACTAGGAAGTTTCTTTAGTCCTCTATGTTAGTCAAAGAATTGGAATTGGCTGGAGTTTATTTCTTTCAAACTATACATGCTCCCTCTTCCATGAATCTGATTGGACTTCCTTCCTCCCAGCAACTGGAATCACTGACTGGCGAATTACTGATATTGAAAGCATGTATATTATCCACTATGCATGTTAATGTAGGAAACCAACATTAGGATAATCGGTCTATCTCGGTGATACTCAGCATCACTTTTCAGATTCACATTCTGAGGTTTGGTCCTTGGGAAACAGCATTCCCCTTCGATGCCACCCCCTCAATTCACTTCAGTCCACAGAGATGGCTGACTGTTCCTCCTGGGATAAACAGTAAGAGTGAACACAAGGACAGACGATGAAGGCTCACATACACATACTTATCTACTTTATTTTTATCTTATTTTTGTCATTAAAAATAGAACTCAATGCAGCTAAATGTATTGACAAGAATACTACAATTCTGAATGAGTGAAATAAAATACTACTATCTGGTTTTTTAAAATATCTTCCTCACTAACAATACTTTTATTAATTTGTGTTTATCTAAATGTGATCCTTCTTCCAGCTTTGTACTTTGTACCTAAGCATAAAACAAACTTAGAATTAACAGTTATCTTACTTAAATGAAAGTAACTGTTTGGAAAACACACAGATACCAGGAGGCTTCCAGGCCCTGAGGGTCCCTGCCTTTGGATACTCTCTTAGAGAAAAGGTATCCAGGTGCTTTGGAAGCCAATTAGGCAAGTCCAAATCCTGGCTCTGCCCCTTCTAAGCAAAGTGAATACAGCAGTTATTACCCCACTACGGGTCTCAGTGTCTCAGCTGCTTCATGTGTAAAAGAGATTCAGTTTTTTTCATATGGATGGAATGGGCTAATACATGTGAAACACAATAGTGCCTCGCACATGGAGAGGCCTACAGAGGATCTGCCTTACTGTTACTACCTTTGTTCTTACTATTAATATCAGAGTACTGTGCTGTCTTACTGCTATCTTTACTCAACATAAAAAGGAGGAAGGAAAAAATCCTATCAGAGAGTGTGATCCAGGGACTTAGGAAAACAACCCTGAGTGACTCACAAGTCCTTCTTTTTACTCCCTTCAGATACATGCATGCCTTGAAGTGCATAAAGCTTAAGTTTCAGAGTCCCTTCGAGATTTTGGGAAGGGCCCTAACAATTCTGAATTCATAATTGTTTATTACTTTTCTTTTTCTTTAAAAAGGTATCTAAAACTGGCCGGGCACAGTGGCTCACAACTGTAATCCTAGCACTTTGGGAGGCCAAGGCGGGCGGATTGCCTGAGCTCAGGAGTTTGAGACCAGCCTGGGCAACATGGTGAAACCCCGTCTCTAAGAAAATACAAAAAAAAAAAAAAGATATTTAAAACTATAAAAACTTCAGTCTCCAGAAAATCAAGATCCAGCTATATGTCTACACGGAGTCCTTTGTATAAGTGATAGCTCCCCTATAGGTTTAGAGCCAGCTTCTGACAAAGACTGCCTACTTTTATGAGAATTTAAAACTTCTGTTTTGTATTAGAAAGCATATTTTAAAACACACCTAGAGTCTGTTTAAATAATTTTAAAAACAGAAATACAAAGTTGTTTCTTTACTCCTATGTTTTTAACTTTGCCTACACAGAACTAATTTATTTTACAGTGTATGGTTTGAAAAATAAAATTTAAGGAGGAAAATATTACTTATAAACAATGGGAAAAGACGGGTAAGGAATATTTGGAAACTCTCTGCAACTTTTCTGTAAATCTAAAAGTAGATCAAAGTTTTGTTTTTTTTATATACTAAGTTTTGGGATACATGTGCAGAATGTGCAGGTTTGTTACACAGGTATATACGTGCCATGGTGCACCCATCAACCTGTCATCTACATTAGGTATTTCTAGTAATGTTATCCCTCCCCTAGACCCCCACCCCTTGACAGGCCCCCGGCATGTGATGTTCCCCTCCCTGTGTCTATGTGTTCTCATTGTTCAACTCCCACTTATGAGTGAGAACATGCAGTGTTTGGTTTTCTGTTCCTGTGTTAGTTTGCTGAGAGTGATGGTTTCCAGCTTCATCCATGTCCCTGCAAAGGACATAAACTCATCCTTTTTTATGGCTGCATAGCATTCCACGGTGTATATGTGCTACATTTTCTTTATCCAGTCTATCACTGATGGGCATTTGGGTTGGTTCCAAGTCTTTGCTAGTGTGGATAGTGCTGCAATAAACATACGTGTGCATGTGTCTTTAGAACAGAATGATTTATAATCCTTTGCGTATATACCCAGTAATGGGATTGCTGGATCAAATGGTATTTCTGGCTCTAGACCCTTGAGGAATTGCCAGACTGCCTTCCTGAAAGTGACGGAGTGTAGATCAAAGTTTTTGAAAAAAAAAATTTATGGCATTATACTATGTACTTTTCCATATATATAAATATATGCTGTATGTTATTAAGCAAATTATTTTTTCACTCAACAATACAATTTTAAGATGCATCCATGTTGACACATAGTTCAAATTCATTCCTATTAACTGCTTCATTATGTGAATATACTACTAATTATGCCATTGATCGACATTTAGATCATTTCCAATTTTCCATTATTTACAAGTAACACAACATTTTAAATGTCACCTTCTGTACTTACATAAAAGTTTTTCTTATCAAGACATGGAACTTCTAGATAACAGAGTATGTGCAATGTTAGGTTAATGAGTTTATATTAACTGTCCCCCCAAAATGGCTGTAGCAATCTACACTCCCATCAGTATTACACAAACGTATTACATAACCATACAATTTCTCCAACAGTTAATCTGATGAGTATCTTATTGTTGTTTCCATTTTCATTTCTCTGACATCCAGTAAGGTTCAGCATCCTTACATTTCCATTCTTGGAACTTTTAATTTCCTTTTCTGAGAAGTATTTTTCAATATGACTTACACAATTTCCTACTGCGTGGTTTTATCTTTTTCTTATAGGTTAAAGTTCTTACAAATTCTGGATTCCAATCTGCTATCTCCTTGTTTGTTACTGATCATATAACTCCTAAACAGTTACTGCTATGTAAACACTTTAAATTTTCATAAAATCAAATATGTCAGTGTCTTCTTCTGATTGTTCTTGCATTTCTGTGTCTTAATAAATCTCTCTTCAAGAAATAAGAATACTCTTCTTGTTTTCTTTTAATGGTTTTAATATTTTGTTTGTTTACACTGAGGACTTTGATCCATCTAGCATGTATTACTAAGCAGGATGAATATAAGCAATCTTTGCCCTTTTGGGATGGCTAATTGATCCAACACTATCTCCTGAGTGACTGGCACCCGTTGACACACAGATTTACATGCTTCCTTTATCACACAGCTAAGAATGTTCCATTTTTTTAAATGCTTTATGTGTTTGAAAATAATGTACATTCTGCAATATTACAATTATAATTGTTTAAGCCTATTACATTGAAATAGTCTTTGGCTGGGCACAGTGGCTCATGCCTGTAATCTCAGCACTTTGGGAGGCCAGGACAGGAGGATTGCTTGAGACCAAGAGTTTGATACCAGGCTGACCAACATAGTGAGACCCCATCTCTACAAAAAATTTTTTAAAAAAATTAGCTGGGTGTGGTGGCACACACCTGTTGTCCCAATTACTTGGAAGGCTGAGGCAGGAGGATTGCTTGAAGCTGGTAGGTAGAGGCTGCAGTGAGTCATAATCACATCACTGAAATCCAGCCTGGGCAACAGAGCAAGGCTGTGCCTCAAAACAAACAAACAACAAAAAAAAAACCTGTGTTTGATCACATAGTTGTGTAAACATTCAACGAATACTGTTATTCATCACTGATTCTGCCTTGTGCCTATGATTCTGCTGCCTACTGAACAGAAATCATGATTTGCATTTCCAGTGTCTAGACCAATCTCTGCTATGTTTATTAATAATTTGCACTCTTCCCATCTATTATAACACCTATCATAATGAATTACATTTAATTGCTAATACACCTGTCTCCCACTCTAGACTGTAAGCTTCTTGGGATTAGTCCATGTCTCAATCATTTCTGTATCCCCCAGTGCCTAGCACATTGCCTGGTCCAGAGTAGACATTTCACTAGTGTTTATTAAATTGTGTTTTTTGTCTTGTATAGTAGTTTTCAAGCTTTTTTGTGTTGTTGTTAGTAAGAGATAAACGAAAAGGAAGTTGAGTCACAGGATCATCTCTTTCTCATGGCCTTCACTCCTTCTCAGAACATATTAAAAAAAACTGCTTTATATTATCACCTCTATTATCTCTGTCATTGACAAATGTCCTTCAAAAGCCAAGCAGGCTTCACTAAAGTTCTACATTTTTAGAAAAGGAACTCATCATCAAGTAAAGGAGAAAAGGGGAAATATTAAATAAACACTTGACATTCTGTGATGGTTTTGTCTCTCTTCATTCATTCAACAAATATTTGGTCAGTTCCCACCATGTACTTAGCAGAGTCTTAAAAACTGTGGGAAATACAAATACCTTCTTGAGTTTGCCTTCAGAAATGAGAGAGAGAGAGAGGAGAGAGAGTAGAGAGAGAGAGAGAGTGTGTGTGTGTGTGTGTGTGTGTGTGTGTGTGTGTGTGTGTCAAGCACCTAGCAGAGATTGACAGCCCACTCACATTTGAGTGGACATGAGAAATGATTCTTTGGGTTCTTGTTTCACATCGAAACAAAGAACTATTCAATGACAATAGGGACTTTCTCATTTCCCAAATGCCAAAGCAAACTTCTCTTTTGCCAAAGCCACATTAAACTGTACCTTCAATCCTTTCACAGAGCTTATGCAAAGAGTGCATCGGGCAGGCCTCACACAGTTTAATCTGCGTCTTGGCACTCTGCAGGGCAGCCGCCGTACTGAAGGCCTGTTTCAGAGTCAGCATTACCTCATCAACCTACAGGAAGAAACAAAACTCAGGTCTATAAAAGTTGGCTTACATGGCAACATTCAACATTCAACAGCAATGTGAGCCTTTGTTGATGCTGACTAAATAAAAATAATAGAATTTTGATGACTAGAGAGTTAGCCGAGAGAAAATACTAAGTCTTGGAGTTAGACGTTTCATACATATAATTGAAAGCTGGATGAAGTAAGATTATTTCAATGTGTGTAATATAATACCGCTCTGTTAATTTAAATTTAATGCTATTTTCAAATTGCATTGAGGGCTATGCCGTCACAGAGAGTTTAATTAGTTAATCCTTCTGTTTAATTATATGCTTTATCAGATAAAGATCCTTTTGGAAGTTTTGTCTGCCACTTATATGAAACAACAAAATAGGTCCAACATTCACTTTGTTAATAGGTATCCTATTTACTTTTCTGGATTACTTTTAGTGTAAAAGCAAACAAAAAGTGTTAAGTAAAGTTCTGGATAAAAATGAGTTCCATTTAAACAATGGTGGGGAAAGTCTGTGACTAATGCTGGCTTATCCCTGTAACTTCTGATTTATTAATATTATCATTCCACTTCTGATTTGTGACACTAAGAAGGTCTTACATAGAGGCATCTAACAGCTGAGTCTCACCATTAGGCCAGCAGCTTGCAAACTACCAGTTAACTTCTTTTTTGTTCCTCCATGACCCAGTCAAAAAGTTTTAATCTAGCCTTTTTATTTCCTGGATGCTTCTTTGAAACCAACTAACAGCTCATCCCCATGCATTGTTAAACCAATTTTAGGTTGTATCTCCTTTTCTGGAAACAATCACAAATGTAAAGTGTAATTTTCCTACATTCTGTAGGACTTAGATCAAATTATGAAACCTGCATAACAGAGACATTGAGCACTAAGGGCCTCATCCGAACTAGCTTTGATATTCCAAACCATTTACCATGCTTGGTAAGCACATTTTTATATTCTTTTCCCCTTCCCCTATGGCCTGATTTAAGAATAAATTATTATTTAAAGAATGTAATCTACTTCTACATTTCAGTATATGAGGAAACTGAAATAAACAGACTATTCTTCTACTATTTCTGAAAGAAGAGATCAAACACCAAGCAGTCAGTCATTATTCAGTTACGTTTTGTTATATCAGCAACCTTAAGGCTTATGAATTTCTTATCATTCCATTAATAAAAGTAATTTTTGATAAAATGTTATTTTATACTATAAGCAAAAACTAATAATTTCTAATTCTTGAAAATAAAAGCACTACATGTTTAATACCTTTGCATTTTTATTTCATTTGCCTTGTTAACGCATTCAAAAGCTATTTGTGCAGATGTTCCTTTATTTATTCTTTCTTGTTTCTTATTTATTTTAAACACTGAAGGGGTTAGCAATCTACTAGTAATATAAATGATTTCCATATAAGTTATTCATCATTTAATAATACCGCCTTGTAAAAGGTATCTAGTAGAAATAATGAACTTTTGATGTTTTTGCTATTTCTGGGTCATGGTGTCTGAAATGTGGCTACCAACTTCTCCTGTACACAAATATTACTAAAAACTTACTTGACTTCTAAAATTATAAATACTTTATTTTCTAAAATCTACCACTTTTCCCAAATGACCTATAAATTCTATTATGAGATCAGTGCAACTAAAAGTTCAAATTAGTGTACCGTGAATAACTTAATTATTTTAGTCTAGATACAACTGCAACAAAGTTATAGGTCATGTCAAAAGGTTAAAAGCAAAGGAATGGGCAAAGATAAATCAATCATACACCAACAGAAAGAAAGTACCTATTTTTGGCACTACCACTGGGCAAATTAAATTTCCAGCAAAAAACATAAGATAGGACAAAGCCCAATTTACAAAATTAGAAGGAAAATCTATAATGCAGACGATGCTCATAAACATTTACACTATATATCAAACTTACATATTTTATAGCATTTGAGAATAAGTCTAAGAATCACAGGATGTGAAGGACTTCAAATATTATCTAGTCTAATTCTCTGAAAAAAATTTAAATTTTTAAATTATCCAATAAAGAATGGCATCAATCCTATTTTTTTGGGGGGGTATATATATACTTATTGTAAAAATCTTTTTTTTTAATTTTATTATTATTATACTTTTAAGTTTTAGGGTACATGTGCACAACGTGCAGGTTAGTTACATATGTATACATGCGCCATGTTGGTGTGCTGCACCCATTAACTCGTCATTTAGCATTAGGTATATCTCCTAAGGCTATCCTTCCCCCCTCCCCCCACCCCACAATAGTCCCCGGTGTGTGATGTTCCCCTTCCTGTGTCCATGTGTTCTCATTGTTCAATTCCCACCTATGAGTGAGAACATGCGGTGTTTGGTTTTTTTGTCCTTGCAACAGTTTGCTGAGAATGATGGTTTCCAGTTTCATCCATGTCCCTAACATGAACTCATCATTTTTTATGGCTGCATAGTATTCCATGGTGTATATGTGCCACATTTTCTTAATCTAATCTACCGTTGTTGGACATTTAGGTTGGTTCCAAGTCTTTGGCATCAATCCTATTTTAACAATTCTTAACAACCAGGTCTACTTCAATGGCTAATTAACCACCCATGTATTGAAGTGTTCTCCATATTTGTTAGATTTTAAGCCCATTTATCACATTTTATCGCATTTTATACTACGTGTAAATTCTCACATGACAGCTCATATGTCTGAAGCTAAGACCTATACTTCTTGTCCCTAGGCTGAATGATGCCAATTATGTCCATTTTTCTTAGATGAGAAACTTTCACAGAGTACTGCTCTTTTCTGAAACATCTGCAACTTTTCCTCATGATTTAAACATGCAGATTGGAAACCTCACCCTGTCTCTTTACCTGCTATCTTCCCACTTTGCTTGATCCTTAATTGTTACAGATGTAAATTTACAAATATACTCAATATCAGATGTAAGAGAAAGATAACTTCCCAGATTTTGTATCTCATCCCTCTATCAATATGCTAATATTTCATTTCTAATGAAATACCATGCTTATTTCATTAACTATTAACCCCATACAAATTCTGGGTCTTGGGCAGCTGGGTCTTTTTCTTTTTTTTTCCTTTTGGTTATACTTTCCCTAAATATTTTGGTCTGCATCTGTGGAGTTTACTTTTTCTTCATTTGTAAGTAGCAGTCCACCTGTACTTTTTTCAAACTCTTTAAACCTATTTTAGAGAAAGCACTTTTGAAGAAATAATATTTTCTACAAATCTCAAGGGTTGGTTAAACAAGATGAAGCTGCTCACCAACAACTATTTTAAGAAAGAAAGAAAGAAAAGAGAGGGAGAAGGAAAGAAGGGAGAAGGTTGGGAGAGACAAAGACAGGAGAAAAGGAAGAATTGATCATCTAAATTTCCAGCAAAGCCCTCCAGGCCCGTCAGAACACTATACTGTTTACAAATTCATAGCAATTATTACAAAGAAGCAAAAGAAAATGTTAATTGTGTATTCTTGGTACTCAGAGAAGATAAATCAGCAGGTGTGGTGTTGCAATACATTGTGTTACACAAACCACATCACTCCTAACACTGCTTAGACTGATAATATTTAATTGACTGTTTTGTTTTGGTCTATGTATCAGCTGCTTAAGCCATCCTCTATTATGAAGGAAATTTACGTTTAATTTTTTTCTTGAGGCTTGCAGTTCTATTGCCTCACTATTCAGTTAAGATGCTTACCAATAAAATTAAACATGGTTTGAGAGATCCTAGCATAGGCCTGTTCTTAAGAATAATTATGCCAAACCTCGGATTCTGACACAGCTTCAAGTAGTAGGAAGGCATTCACAGCCAGTCAAGTCTGTTGCCTTAGTCACAGATCATGCTAGGTGGAAAAATGCAGCATGTTCCCAGACTTTCTACTGTGATTCCCTGTTTCCAAAACTCATTCTACATGCATGAGGGCAAAATGAAAACTAAAAACAAAACAAAACCTGTAAAAAAGATTAGAAGTAACAAAGTTTTACATCATTTTCCTTTTAGTGCAAGTTCTCCAGTGATCACAGATGAACCAGCACCTAGAAAATGATTGCCTGAAGTTCAGAGTAATGCAGTCATTCAATCACTCAAAATACAAAAGTACCAAGCACCTGCTATCCTAGAACCTCCATGACACAACACGTAAAAGAGACAGTCCAAAATCTGTGAAACTCACAATCTAGTAGAGTAGGTGGTTATGCAACAATAAGTGAGTGTGGGGATTGGCAAGAACTGTTTGAGACCTAGGAATAAAGTATAGTAAGAGAACTAACAATAGCACAACTAAAGGAGGCAATTCCTGCAAAAAAGGGGGTCAAGAAAGGCTTCGGTAGGATGTGATATGTAAGCTGGGTCCTGAAAAATATGCAGTAGAAAAGAAGCGGAAGGGTACTCAGACTATAGTAGGGCAGAGCCAGGCCTGCTTCACTTCCAAAATTAAAAGCAGTAAAAAAAAGAGATAACTAAAGCATTGCACACTCTCCTTGCTTAGTAACAGGCAGATTCTTGAGGCTGACATGGCTTCCTTCCCAGCCGGACAGTATGAAAGGCAGCAAGCCCTGGTTCTGGCATCCTCTCACATGGCACACTCCTCACTCCATGCAGTGAATGGGGACCTCTGAGTTTCAGCTGTACTACTGTGAGCCACAGTGGGCCTTCAGAGAGCTGCAGCCTCTCACTCAAGTCCTTAGGTCCCAGGAACTAACCAACACGTGTGGGTTTCAGTAGCAAGCCAAACTAAAAGCAGTATCACACCAACCATCGAAGCAGTCTTTGTGGTCTGACCCAGAGAAGAGCTTGTAAGACGAACGACATATGTGAAGAAGGTCATGAAAGGGCATAGTATTCCGGTCTAAGTGCAGAATAACATCAGATGAGGCTAGAGAATGAAGTGAGCCCCACTGTGTGCTACACAATATAGATTTTGTCCCTTAACAGTGAGGCATACACCAGGTTCCAAGGAGGAAATTTTGTGAGAAATAAAACTCTAACATAATGTAGAAAATGAAGAGATGGCAGATTAAGCCAGTGGCAGGACGACTAGTTAGGACATTAACACAAGGGCCCAAGTAAAGAAGATGAATGCCTAGAATCGGGTAGCAAAGAGGAAATGGGGGAGAAATGGAGAAAAGAGACATTCTTATCTTTCAGTCAATAGGATTTGATGAACAACTGCACATAAAATGTGAAAGAGATACATTAGCATTTGTAAGTAGAGAAGTTAGGTAAATGGTGCTTCCAAAATAAAACATATGGGGTATATGATAGTTTTTAGAAAGGTAGCAGAGTGGGGGGATCCAGAACATGACAGAAGGATCAGTCCTAGAGTAGAGGAGGGACACAGAGAAGGAGTGAGGTGTGGGCGTGTAGGGGATGGGTGGGGAGCGGGGCATGTGTGGAATAACATCCTAGGATACCACTTTCTACCAAACTGTTACTTGGTTGGCATTTTCTAGTGTTAGGTCATCGGTTTTCTTTGGCTTTCTTTCTCTTTCTTCCCCCGGGTGTTTATCCAACCTGCCTTTCACTGTCATTTACACAAGGACAATCTCAAATTTCTATCTCAAGTCCTAAATGCAACCCATTTAGCAACAGCCTCTGGATATCAACATGTGGATATTGCATAGGTGTGGTTATTTAGAGGGAGAACAAAACTCAAATGGAACCCTCTAGAATAGGAAAGTGTTAGTGATGGGAGTTTTCTATCTTTTAGAGAAAAAGATGAAGGCCAGAGGCTGCTGGTCACAAAGTGCCTTTGAACAAATTCACTCCTACTTCTTCATTATTCCTAACCTCAGTGTCCACACTGGGAATGTGGAAGGCGAGAGTCGGGCAGGGATAATTGTGATATTCACCAAGGGCACAAGGGCAATGCTGCCTGACTGATTTCTATATGACGAAGTTGTATGTGTTTCCCTGGGAGAAATCCTGGTGGGAGGATCACATGTCTAAGAAAATAATTTTCTGTAAACTTTTCTAAGAATGGTGATGTATATGTCTAAAGGGTTGTGTTAAAATGACATGGGAAGATGGCATAGGTGCAAGAATGAGTAAAAACTTTGAGGGGAAAAAAATCAACTTATTTCTTAGCCGCTCAGATATATGTCCAAGCCTGCCTTACATATGAACTCCAATTACCTTGAACTCTGCAATACAAAATTGATGGGAATATATCTTTTAATCAGCAATATGGAAAGCAACATCAGTTCTCTGCTTTCACAGCTCTACGAATCTCTCCTTCACAGCAATGAAGGGGGGACATAATGCCTTGAACTCCAATTACCTTTAGTTGAGAGTAGGAGAGGGGTAGTATTAAAGAGAATTGACTTTTAAATGCCAAAGAAGAAAATTAAGGTTAAAGTAAGACCACAAAGTATATGATATTTCAAAAATGAAGAAGGGGCTAATAAAATAAAAGAAGAAAACCAAAATAGCTCTCTGTTCTGCTGATATAAGCATTATCTACTCTGCAATGTTATAGCAGTTAAGAAAATAAAAGATCAATGGCCTTCCTTATCTTCTCATATGAGCAATGAAAAAAGTAACAGCTTTTCTCCTATTATTAGTCTTTTCCTGCCTTTTAAAAAGCTCAAGTTTCCATGACTGGGTTTATTAAACCCACAAAAGTATGTAGGCATATATTTTACCATGACAATTTGTTTTTGCTTTTCTACTGCTGTGCTGCTTTGAAGGGGAGGAACATATTTCTAGACGCCTTCTTCTTTTCCCATAGATAGCCATATTGCAAGGCTTGGGCTCCTAAGAGACAAGTCTTCTGTTCGACAGATGTGTCCGCAGGAGCAGGCAGACAGCAATAACACTACTTACCAGAGATTCGCTGGCACACTGGAATACATAACAAATATACTGGCTAAGTCCAGGCTCTGGAGACTCCCGGCAGATAAAGCCAAAGTGATCCACATGCTTTATACCCTAGATGGAGGGGAAGAAGTGCAATAAAAATGTATGGGAATATATATTTTTTACTCAACAATATGGAAAGCAACATCAGTTCTTTGCTTTCACAGTTCTACGAATTTCTCCTTCACAGCAATGAAGGGGGGACATAATGCCATAGCAAACTCATGCAGTGGCCTGTTGATACATAAAATAAAAGGTGAGACCAACTCAGACTGTTTTGCTTCTGATAAACATTCTGCGACTCAAGGCCACAGGAGGAAAAACATTGATGGTATGATCCACTGTGTCTTGTAATAAAATGCTACTCCATGTCTGCAAGTAACGGAGTTTTCAGTTTACTGTCTTCTTGGCACGGCAGTCTGATATTCATCATAAACCCTGTTCTTATCTGAGGCTAAGAATCTGAGAAAAACTAATACTGACAATACTCAAATTAACTGGTATGGAATTCCCTAAAGTATGCATAGAATTATTGGAATGTTTGTCTCTTTATAGACACTCAAGCAGCCACACTTAAAAGACTGATATGTTATAGAAATTATTGCAGGTGCCAATTATCCACAGTGACAAATCATTGTACTTCCTGGACCCAGGCTAAATAACCTCCCTATATCCCATTAAAAAAAATCAGAATCATCTGTGATTTTCATTCAGTCTGAATGTATACATACTGGTAAGTAGACAACACCTTAATAGCAAGCACAGTACTTAGATAAGCCAGGTAGGCAAAAAATTTAAAGTTGTCCCCAAATCACCTAAATCCAAGTGAAAAGGAAAAACATGCTTTGAAGTCAGATTTGTGCTGAAATCTTCATTCAACTAATTGTGAGATATGTGATATTGCGCTGGGTTGCTCATAACTATCTCTGAGCATCCATTTCTCATTATAAAACAGTAGTAATAGCATCTACTGTCAGGAATGTTTGGATTTAGAACTAAGAAATATAATTCCTAGGATGTTTGATAAATGGTTGCCCCTATTTTGTTATAATAAGCTCTATCCAATGGAAATAGAAAAAGGAAATCAATTCCTGTAAAAAGAAAAAGTCAGTACAGAGGAGAGAGGCTGCAATTCTTGAGGTGAAAGTAAGCAATCCGTATGGATATGACATCCACACAGATTAAATTTGCACGGTGACTACCAGCCCCCCATATGACCTTTAGATACACAACCTCGATTTTCATCTTTCCATCCTCATCTGCTTTCCTCTGGCTTTCTCTCCTATAACATTCCCTTCTCACCTCCCCAACTCCAGCCACACTGGCCTCAATTTGGTACAACTTGTTAGTGACTTAAGAATACCCTTTACTTGCTTAGCACTAAATGGGAAAAATTCACAGGACCTCATTAGCTCGGAGAGTCCTGAGGCAATGGCAATGTTTCCAGGAAAGAAAACCATTCCCGTAGTCCCCATGCTTGCCAGGCAAACAGTCCGACAGATTTTGAAGAAAGAAGCATTTGGGATGTGCACTGTTAAAAATCAGGCTGTTCCTGAAAACAGCCACATTATATGCGTTCAGTTCCATGGAAGGATGTAATAAGAGCAGAGCCAGCCACTCAGTGAGGAGCAGATGGCTAACCTGACAATTACCTCAATGAAAGGCAGGGCTTTCCACAAATCTCCCTCCTGCTTCTGTTTATTTCTTTTTCTGAACCAGAATATCAGAATGCAAATCTTGACTTTAAAAAAATACAAAGGAGAAACAAGAAATTGTATCTGAACTTCCAATTTTTGGTTTGGCTAGTTCTTTTTTCTTTCTATTTTTTTTTCTTTTAGCTGCCCAATGAGCATTGCGAGTTTTCTCACCAGGAGGCTTGAGGAGTGTGGGGTGGGAGGCACAGCTTTTGAGGATGCCCCCTGGTGCTCTGGGATAGGAACTGCTTCGGTTCAGACATCACTTTCTCTTCAGTATTTGGCATAAGGCCCACCATGTGTAAAGTGCTCATTCATTCAACATGTATTGAACACCTCAGGGTTAAGCTCTGTCTTAGTACATCTGACTCTGATGTGCTACAGAATGACACCACAGCCTTAGACACCTGCCCTCACAGCACTTACGATCTCCCAGGGACAACCAGTAAATTGGTAATTACAAGAATGCTTAATAAATACTTTTCAGTTAAAATTTCTGTGTCCTTTAAGTAGGAATGTAGAAATTTACAATATATTTCTCCTTATTTCAACTGCTGACAAAGTTATCAGAGTAGAAAATTTTTATCTACACAATGTAATTTTATGTCTCCATATAATATAAAGTATATTAAAATATCAGAAGTGAACTGTATTAGCTGAGACTGAGGCAAACAATTAAGGTGTACAAAAACTGGCCAGCATGGTGGCTCATGCTTGTTAATCCCAGCACTTTGGGAGGCCAAAGCAGGAAGATCTTGAGGCCAGGAGTTCAAGACTAGCCTGGGCAACATAATGAGACCTCGTCTCTACAAAAAATTCAAGAAAATAAAAAAAATAACAAGTACCCAGGCATGGTGGCACATGCCTGTGGTCCCAGCTACTGGAGAGGCTAAGGTGGGAGGATTGCTTGAGCCGGAAAGGTCAAGGCTGTAATGAGCCATGATCACGCCACTGCAATCCAGCCTGGATGACAGAGGAAGACCCTGTCTCCAAAAATAAATAAATAAATAAATAAAAGTACAAAAACTGTCTTGTTAACTTCAAAGGGAAGAATGTCTGAATATCATACCTATAGCAATGCTAACTTCAAATTATCTTTAAAAAGATAGTAACTAAAGAAAACAAGATAGGCCGGCGTGGCTTTTCAACATTAAAATATATGGACCTTGGCAAGATCCAGCTCCTTGAAGGTAAGTTAAGTCACCAGGCAGAAAAGAAGTGAATTCTCAATTCCAGGAACCTCCTTAGAGGTGCATTTTTTAACCTCCCTACATTTACATTTAGATACTCCTTCTATCTGACATCTTCAAAAGTTCTTTTTAATCTTGTAATCTCTTCAATGTCTAATATAATCTTGTACATAATTGGCTGTATTATTTTAAAAAACATTTAAATACACAGTTTGTGAATTAAAAACAAATAAAAGAACAAAAATACAAAAATATTTTCAAAGTTTAGTATTTACATTAAAATAAGCTGAAACCCTCGTTCTCCTTTTACTACCTACTACGGTATAAAGAGCAAGCATGACTCAGTTATACCCACAAGTCCCACAGGCCAACATTCCAAGGAACTAACTGTGAAGGTATTTTCAAAAGAACTCACCACCACAAAAATTCCATCACTGGAAGGGATTTGATGGTATTACAATGAGAAAGAGTTGGCTAAAATGAGGACAAACTGTTAGGATAGATACCAAGGGACCTGGGCAGGATTTTGGTGCTGCCATAGACAAAAACCCAGGAGCCCTTAGTTTAAGACAAATTCCCTTTAAGAATAAAAATTTAAATTTCAAAAAAAATTAAAATTTGAAGGGGGTCAAGCCCACTTATTTTATTGTTAATTCTGAAACAAGATTGGTCTCTTCACATACTATGATATACTTTGATACATACCTGAGAACAAGAGGAGATATCTTTAAAATTCTTTTCTAGCACAACTGATTTAGTGTCTGGACTGATAAGGTTAATCTCAAATCGCCCAACCTTAAAAATAAAAGCATTCCAATTAATTTCAATTCATAAGGATCTAACATCTTACTTTATAACCAAATATTAAACTAATAATATAGATTCAAATGCAATATCCCAGATATATGTATTTCATATGTGCTTAAACATCTAATCCAACCAATATTTTTAACCCCAAATATCAGCTGCCTCAAAAATGTTTCTTTCCTCTGTCAAAAAACGTATGAAAATTAAGTTAGTCTTCAATTATTATAAGATACAAATATTTTTCAGATTAGAAACAACTGTCTTTTTAAAAAATATGCAAACTTTCCTCACTTCATGATTTCTAAAAATAGTAATTTTAAAAAATAAGTTATAATCATACTTTCTTCTAAATGGTCAGCAAAAGGATGTATCTGTAATTGGGCTAATGAATTAAAATCTTTGAAAATAACCCATTCAGAAAAATTAACAACAAGGACTGTGACTAACTAAAAAAAGAACAAATCTGATAACCCCAAGAAAAGGGGAAATTCAGTTAATACATCACCAAAGACTAGAGAGGCTTTAATGACATACCTTGAGTTCATTAAAAACAAAACCACCACCAACAAAAAAGAAAAAATATGAACTTCCAGGGGTCAAGGCTGTAGTGAGCTGTGATCACACTGCTGCACTCCAGCCTGGATGACAGAGCGAGACCCTGTCTCTTAATTTTTTTTTTTTAATCAGGGGTGTGTTTTTTTTTAATCAAGTAGTAATATATTCAATGCTACTTCTTGCCATCATTTTCAATTGTTGAAATGGGCATACTGAGCTCAGAAAGCAAATCTGATGCCTTCATGATATGGAGCCACATTTGTGTTCTGTGTGGGATTACTTCTGCAGGAGAACATCACATTTTCTCCTTAAGGCAAAATGTTTGTAAGTGTTGCCTCTTTACTCTGAATTTACTTTTGAAGCTGTACTTGTTCACCTACGAGTGTTTATGAAATCCTGCATTTGGGATGCTTTTTCTATAATAAAATATTATCATTTGTGAAAAAAAGCCTCATGAACTTCCGATAAAGCAAACTTCTGATATTACACACCGGTACTATTTACCAAAATACTCCGGAATCTCCTTCTTAGGAAATCTTTAAAATAGGTTTAAAAAAGACAGTCACTCTTTTCTTTCCCCCCAAGGAAACTCAAATCTCACAAGCTGAGAATTAAAGACTCTCTACAGAGTATTGTTAGGAATTAAGTTATTTTAAGCGGAACCTGACACCTTCTATACCCTGTACAACATTCAAAAATGTTTAGAATTAAGAATGATCTTTTATACCAATACTACAGCTTGCATCAAATTATTTTAGTATCCAATTCAGTACATTTTTAGGCCAATGATGTTTCTTTAACGTCTTTTGGTGTGACAGCATAAATTGGTGTGTCCTCGACTCAAAATACAAATACAAGTCTCTGGAGTTTTTTCTTCTCTAGAAAAAAAGTCCCTTGTTTCTCCATGCCAAATCGCACTCTCTCAGATTCATATCTTTAAAGATTTACTTTCTACAATTTTTTTGTTGTTGTTGAGATGGAGTCTCGCTCTGTCGCCCAGGCTCGAGTGCAGGGGGTCAATCTCAGCTCACTACAACCTCCGACTCCCCAGTTCAAGCAATTCTCCCGCCTCAGCACCTGATTAGCTGGGATTACAGGCACGCCCCCACCACATCCGGCTAATTTTTGTTTTTTAATAGAGACGGGGTTTTGCCATGTTGGCCAGGCTGATCTGGAACTCCTGACCTCAAGTAATCCGCGTACCTTGGCCTCCCAAGGTGCCGGAATTACAGGCGTGAGCCCCCGCGCCGGGCCTACAATTTTTTTTTAAGCATTTATTTGAGAATCACCCCAAGGCAAATGCTGGTTATAGATTCTTATTCTCTCTACCAGGTGTCCAGGACGTTCTACGAATTGCTTCCTCCTCCTCTTCCTTCCCTACTCCCTTAATTCTTATACTCCACACTCCACGTCTGCCTCTCCCCCCTTCCCTACTTTCCTCTGCACTCTTCCTCCACCTGCCTTATCTGCTTTGAAGGGGAAAACAAATAAAAGTTAGATTATTCGTTATATAGAGGTGGAGCTGGGAGGAACTGGATGCCCAGCTACTTCCATCTGGCACCTTTTGGGGCAAGGGCAGACAGCGTCCGATCAGGTGTACCTGGAAGAGCATGGTCCTGTTCTTCTCCGAGTCCGAGGGCTGGACGTGACTGGGTGCGCTCGCGTGTCTCCGTCGCGGCTGGGATTTCTGGCTGCCCTCGTGAACTCTCCGTTGCACGCCGGTGACACTGCTGCACCGAGACCGAAACTCCTGCTGCTCATCAAAGCCAGAATCTTCCAAAATCCGCTCAGGGAAGCAGACCCGAGAGCTGGTCAGGGCAGGCTGGCTGGCCCCGGCAGGTAAGCCAAGGTGGGTGTCGGTGCCGTCAGCCTCCTCCGGCAGGCAGTCTCCGGGGGACCCGGGCACCACCACCTCCAAGTCAGCCAGGTCCTCTCCTGGGTCCGGACCGCGCTGCTCCCCTTGGATCTTCAGGCGCTGCTGTTCGTGCAGGCTGAACTTCTCCATGCAGTCATCGATGAGGCTTGAGGGGGCCTTCTTGTGGGTCACGGTCACCTTTCCACAGTACAGGACTTCGAACTTCTGAGAGTTGTAAAAGGCGTCCTCATTATCTTTGCTGGGTTTGGCATCCTCTTTCATGGCCGCTTTAGATAATTGCCTTATGCTGCTAATAACATCAGGAACCTGGGGGAAAAAATTAAAACCCTGATTCTAGTTGAAAGTTTTGAGACAATTTACATTTACCTAGCCCAATTATTACCACATGGAATGTATTTTCATCCTAAATAATATACAAAGTAATAGACACTACACGAGACAGAGCATACACTTACATTATTTGACATAAATGACTTCAAGATAAAATTAAAATGTAATGAAAATTGAAATTGAATAGCAGGATTATATTTTCCCACTTTAAATGAGTCTCCCAGAAACAAAACCATGAAACTATATAAGCCACTGCCAACCTATTATGTCATAATATGTCTTTTGATTGTGTTTAAAAGTTATTTGTGCCTCAGCTGAAAGGAACCAAAGTTCCAACCATGAGGACAAAATAACCTTTTTTGATGAGGAGATTAAAACCTAGACATCCCTCATCAGCATTAACTATCAGAGAAAATGCAAATTAAAACCACAATAAGATACCACTATATACCTCTTAGAATGGCTAAGATAAAAAGAAGACTGCCAGCAAGGACATGGGAGCAACTGAACTCTCATACATTGTACACAGACATATAAAATGACACACCACTCTAGAGGATGGTTTGGCAGTTTCTTAGGAGTTAAATATAGACCTACTTCATTACCTAGGCATTCCACTCCTAAAAATTAAAAGACTGGAAAACATGTCCACACAAGAGCCTACAAACAAATATTCAAAGGCACTTTTGTCCCAATACCCTGTGAAAGGAAAATATCTTAGGCCCCCAAAATCACTAAGGAAAACTCAAGCTGAAAATTGCTTAGGGCAAACCTACCTCCTATCTATTCAAAGTCACCCCTCTGCTCACTGAGATAGATGCATATCTGATTGCCTCCTTTGGAAAGGTTAATCAGAAACTCAAAAGAATGTAACCATAGCACCTGTTTATGACCTAAAAACTCCCTCCCTGCTTTGAGTCTTCCTGCCTTTGCTTCAAATTGTCCCGCCTTTCCAGACGGATCCAAGGTACTTCTTACATATATTGACTGATGTCTCATGTCTGCCTGAAGTGTATAAAACCAAGCTGTGCCCTAACCACCCTGGGGACATGTCATCAGGACTTCCTGGGGCTGTGTCACAGGTGCGCATCCTCAACCTTGGCAAAATACACTTTCTAAATTAACTGAGACCTGTCTCAGATTTTCTGGTTCACAACTCTAAAACTGAGAACAATCCAAACGTCCATCAGCAAGTGAAGAGATAAATAAAATGTGGTACATTCTATAAACCAAAAAGTATCTGAGACAGGTCTCAATCAGTTTAAAAGTTTATTTTGCCAAGGTTAAGGGCATGACCATGACACAGCCTCAGGAGGTTCTGAGAACATGTGCCCAAGGTGGTTGGGCTACAGCTTGGTTTTCTACATGTTAGGGAGACATGAGACATCAATCAGTATATGTAAGATGTACATTGGTTCGATCCACAAAGGTGGGAGAACTCAAAGGGGCAGGGTGGGGAGTGTGCATGGTGGGGGCGGTGCAGTTCCAGATCGTAGGTGGATTCAAAGATTTCCTGATTGGCAATTGGTTCCTAGAGTTTATCTCCTACTAAATTCCCTTCTACTCAGCTCCAGCCACAATGGCCTCCTTGCTATTTCTCCAACATACAAGGCACATTCCTCCCACAAGGTCTCTGAGTTCAGAGATGTTAACAGTTTATTGCCACATCCATTTAATATTTTCGGACCACAGATGACCACAGGTGACTGAAACTGTGGATAAGGAGGGGCTGTTGTAATTATTTGGGATATACTGCTAGAACATTCATAGTTTACAAATAACAAGAATTTCCGCTTGCTAGACCAAGTATTTCCTATGAAAGGATAAAATCCACATGCTATAGCTTCAGTGACTCACCCTGAACACTTGCCATGTCTCAGGGACAAAGTCAGGTATCTGTGCTAACATGTGACTAGCAACCTCAACCCTTCATCATTTTCTTACTGCCTTAGTATGTGATTTACCTTACCTGGCAAGGGCCAAAGCTATGGAGAGTGAGCTAGCTGACACTCAACCGTGCAAACCTGCAAAAAATAAAATGATTCTAGTGGGCAAAGCCCTAGGAGAATGATCTCTTCTTTCTCTCTACTTTTCATCTGATTACTAAATATTTTTAATCTGATTTTTAACCCAAAATCTTTTTGTCTGATTTCCACTAAATACTTTTCATCTAATTTTTAACCCAAGTATGCCTCCAAAAGTGTCTCTACAGAGTACGGAATCAGAAATATAGCCTGTAGCACTGATTTTACTGCAGATATTTTATCTTGTTACAAATATTTAAATGATTTACATACAACCTCAGAGTTCCATTCTACAATTGAGATTGCACATAAAGTCAATTCAACCTTAATTGTGTCAAGTCTTTTGAATTTCTCTACCGCCATATCAAGAGTTTTTACATGAAAAACTGATTTGTGGCTGAATTTCTGTAGTCTCCCAGGATCCTTCCCTGTGACTACAGGTAAAAACTCAACACCTAAATGTAATTCTGTAAGTGATCCAATTTATATAAGCAAAGTTTATCATCTTGAATTCTAAACTGAGTACATAATTTAATCTTTAATAATTTAAGATGCTAATATTACAACACAAAACTGGTTCTAGTTACCTTTACTACCTTTTCTCAGGTTATGACTAACCACAACTTGAATGACATGGGTTGCAGAGACTCTGCAAAACTAATCTAACAACAGCTCTGTTTTTTTTTTTTTTGCTTATCCTCATGTGAAACACAGAGTATAAACACTAGCATTATACAGCCCCTGACTACTCACTTAGGCCACACCAGAAGGGGCACACTGCTCATATAAGCACAGTAAAATATCCATAGCGGGGAAATGAGTGATCAGAGAATCATGAAAATCTTGTATTGAAGCATTTACTTAAGGGATTCATCAGAAACAATGCAAGAGAAATAAAATTTCTATCAAGTACTTGTACATACATACAATATTTTGGAATCATAGGATTCTCCTGTAGCATAGTGTTAACTGACATATATTTATACATACATTTACAAATATTGTTGAACGAATTTGAATCCTTCTTATATGTGTTGTATCTTTTCAATATCTCTTTCTCCTGTACCATCGTACCATAAGCTCTTAAGTGAAAGACTGAGTTGGGGGGATTTTGTTGCTTACTAGAATTCCTCCCTGTGGCCACTAGGAAAATGGTCTGGGCTCAGAAGAACTTGAATGAATGCTGACAGCAAACAGAGTCATATATATAGGAGTGAAAAACTACCTAGAACTCTGATATAAATTCTTCAGGACTGAGACAGTTTAGTAAATTCCCGTTGGTGACTCAAGAGATCTGTCACACCCAAAAATAGAAAGCAGTGGCTTCTCACTCTGCTCACCATTCACCCAAACTAGGAAGTGACGGTATGTTTCCAGAATGACTCTAAATGTTATAGAGCACCTCAAGCTACACACCCTAGCTACATATTGTAGCTACAAATAATTCCGCTGCTCAGAATCTGCCTACAACCCACAGAGCCTAATGACGATTTACACACACCAATTTAAGGCAAGATTTCTACTCAGTGGCAGCATTTAATCTATTAACACAAAACAATGATACTGAAAGAGGCTCAACCAAACTAGGGACTGACAGGTTTATATTCTATCCCCAATATTTTGCTCAAGACCTCTGGGAATAGTTGTTGCACCTCTGCCAGATAACTTCCTCAAGAGCAAAGTGAATGGGGGAACTTGATAGATGGTTGATAAGGTCTCATCGAGATCCACATTCTGTGAGTTAATTTTTGGATTAATGCCAATATAAAGGCAGGATAATGTACAATCAAGAGAGGGAAAAATCACCTTTATGATTAAACCTGAAGTAGTGTGCAAGTTGTTAAAATGATCCATTTCCATTAACACACAGGAATCAATTCAACAGAAATAAGGGTCTCATTATATTTAGAAAAAGCACAGTGCCACCTTTAGCTAGTATTTTGTTGTTACACCTTCAGTGACCTCACTAAAACAATTTAGAATCAAGTACCAAGACTCAGACATTAAAGCAATTCCTCACTCTAGACAAAAAAAAAAAAATATTGCTTCTAGATTCCTTGATGTCATGCTGTTCTTTCTCATTAATTGGTTATCATAGTTACTTAACATACTTCAAAAAACCCATTAACATTTTATAAACTACATTTTACCTGATTTCAAAATAAAACAAATTCTACAACTACCAAACACTGATGTTCAAAGACCTGAACAAACACAGGAGAAAATCTGGAGAGTGAAAAAGCACTAAGGAAAGATACCTTTGATCAGGAAGCCAGCTGGAAACTGGAGGTGGTCACGAAGAGCAATGATTTTGCCAAACTGGTGTAGTCCTCAGTATTAGCTCTAAGTTCTCTCTTTCTAAATAAGCTGGCGGTATTTTCATTGTATTTATTAAAGTCCACGTTATCACTATGCAGCCAATTATAAAACTTCCCAGGAGTAACCATTATTGCTTCAAAAGTTAAGTATTTCCTGACTCTGCAATCAGGAAATACACAGATTGTTTGGGACTAAAGAGCAAAGCTTTAGCTTTCTTTAAAAAGAAACATTTTAATTTTGATGACTGTAGTCTTTATTATACTGTTTAAATAATCACAAGTGTCCCATGCTTACTAATTATGGATATAAGAGAAGATTAATCTACAGTACAATGTCTTTTTTATTCACACGGTTCACTGATAACAGATGAACTTCAATAAATGTTTAAAAATAGATATGACGGATATCAGCGTGAGAATAAGCTTCCTAAAACATATTTAAACAAAAAAGAACTGTATCAATTATTTTACAATTGATATAAGCTTCACTGCTTGATATTATTAATCTTTTATAATAACTATAGTAGGCAGAGCAAGATTTAGAGAAGTGTAAAAAAAAAAAAAGTTGAGGAAAAACATTAGGGAACAAGTAAACTGAAAAACTGCCTAATGAGAAAGAATAGCAATTTAAACTAGTCTCACTCAAACAGAGACAGTATGGAAAAGAAATATATTTGGTTTGGAAGTAATGCGTGGCTTTAGGGGAAGGGTAGATTTCCTTTATAATTAATTCTGCTTGTTTAAGAAACCATTAAGATTAGTTTACAGACTATCCAGGCAACACGGGGATGATGTTGAAAGCGTAATGGTATGAAGTAAAATGCAGCATTTTGAGAAACGATTGATTTGGTCATTTAATGTTATAATTTTTAATTGAGCTTTTTAAAACTTCATCTTCATATAATGGAAAATGCTGGGAAGATATATAGATGCCAAGTATCAGTTCATTTGTATTCAAGGAAACACTAATCATTCCTAGCCATTTTTCCAGCTCCAGTAGCCTTAGAAGCACACCGAGTTCGTGCTATGGTTTTTAGGGTGAAGCTGTTTGACAATCTCATTTTAACTTTTATCCTAAAATACTTCAGAGTTTCTTTGTATTTAGTTAAAAATCTAAATTATTCTTTAAAGCAAATTTTCCAAAGTAAAATAGAAGTCTAAAACTGAGTCTAGATTCAAAATAGAATAGAGTAATACACTGATTTGAAAATGATAGAACTGTAAAACTGTAAAACTAAGGGTCTCCTTAAGGAATCACCGGTCCCCACTGTCTTATTTTACAGATGTGGCAATAAACTGTTAACATCAAAAGTCAAACCACTGAAGAGGAAAAGAACGAGATTACAAGAGACTACACTATTGGGGCCAAAGAAAGCAAGAGTATCTCTGTGACTTAAACCAGAGTCATACAAGTAGCTTTGTTTTTGATCCTCGGGCTATGAGCCAAGACAGTTTCCTCTCAGACCAGGCTTTAGTTCTTAGATATTCTTGGCAACTTTGCTCCAAACCCATTTATGGTTCAGCTCTTTTCTAACTGCTGCCTTTTTGATGGCCTCTAAGTTAGGCCAAATTGTCAGAGAAACATTTCTTAAACCATTCTACTAAGTTCTCTCCTCTCATGCTGTCTCACTGCTTCTCCAGTTGAATTCCTTCTGTAAAAGGTACGACTTGTGCCTTCTTATCCTATGACTGTTACAAATGTGTAAAAGTGATCAGATAGAAAATATAAAAGAGTAACTCACAGGAAAAAATCTGGGGAATCATGATTTGATAAAGAGAATGAGGCCGGGCGTAGTGGGTCACACCTGTAATCCCAGCACTTTGGGAGGCTGAGGCGAGGTAGGTGGATCACTTGAGGTCAGGAATTCAGGACCAGCCTGGCCAATACAGCAAAACCCCATCTCTATTAAAAACACAAAAATTAGCCAGGCATGGTGGTGTGCACCTGTAATCCCAGCTACTCCTGAGGCTGAGGCAGGAGAACCGCTTGAGCCTGGGAGGCAGAGGTTGCAGTGAGCAGAGATTGCACCACTGCACTCCAGCCTGAGCAACAGAGTGAGACTCTGTCTCAAAAAAAAAAGAGAGAAAAAAAGAGAGAGAGAATAAAATCTCCCCAAAAGTGGCTGAGTTTAGTGCTGGTGTAACAAGACAGAAGATGGCATGCTTGGGAAGAAGTCATATGACAAAGGAGCAGGCAAGAACCGTCACTTTCCAATTCCCTTTCAAAACCAAAGTCAGGTGGGGTGTGTTGGCTCACACCTATAATCCCAGTACTTTGTGGAGGCCAAGGCAGGAGAACTGCTTGAAACCAGGAGTTCAAGACCAGCCTGGGAAACATAGGGAGACTCCGTCTCTACAAAAAATTTAAACCAGGAAGGAGTTGTGGCACATGCCTGTAGCCCCAGCTAGTTAGGAAGTTGAGGTGGGAGGATCACTTGAGCCTGGGAGGTCGAGGCTGCAGTGAACAGTGATCACATCATGCCACTGCATTATATAGCCTGGGTGACAGAGTGAGACCCTGTCTCACACACACACACACACACACACACACAATCAAAATTATTATTTTTAAAAGGAAGCAGTCCATAGCTTCACATATTAGAAAGGTACACATCATGCTGTTAAAGGGTTTCTACTTAAAGCCTGGGTCCAGTATCTATGTTTATCTACAGAAAAGATATGATACCCCCTAGGTCTCAGGTTTTTCATATGCAAAATGGAAATCACAATGTTTATCTGAAAGGCAACCTAAGAAAAATGAATTAGATGTGAAAATATGCCTGACACAGTGCTGCGACAATGAAAGCATTTAATAACATTTAAACCAAAATATAATTCCAATGTGTGCTACATAAGAAGATGAAATAAGTGAGAAGCTATGGCTAAATCAAATTGCCTGCCTTCATGAAATTTAAATTGAGGTGGCGAGATAGGGAAGAAAAAATTAACAAGAGAAGTAAAATATAAGGGATTTTAGTGAACATTTCCAAGGAGAAAAATAATGCAGGGAAGGCAGAAATTTGGAAAGACATAAAATTTTGAGGAAAACCATTGCAATTTTAGGGAAAGGACTCTCTATAAGATGATATATGAGTAGACATCTGAAGTCAGCAAGGTCATGAGCAATATAAATATCAGAGGGAGGAATGTTCTGGGCAGACAGAACATCAAGTACTAAGGCCCTGAAGCACAAATTTTCCTGGTATGTTCAGGGAACTGTGAGGAACCAGCATGGCTGGATGGGAGTGAGTGAGCACGCGATTATGGGGGAGGCAGTTGTGGGAGACGTGGGAGATCTAAATCCTGCAGGGGCTTGAAAGGATTTTGGCTTCTACTCTTGGTGAGATAGAAAGCCCCTGGTACAGTGCAGTGCTCAGTGTGGAAATGACATGATCTAAGTTGCTTTCAAAAGAACCCTTTGGCTACTGTGTGGAATATGGACAAGGGTAATGGGCAGGTGTCTACTGCACTCATCCAGGGTGAGCCATTGGTAGCTCACACAGAAGCGACAGCAAGGGAGGTGGTTAGGCAGCTGCCAGCTTCTGGATATAATTGTAAAGGTACAGACATGATGATATGTTGATGAATCCAATGTGAGGTCCAGGAGAAGGAGAGCAGGCAAGGATGACATCACGGTTTAGGGCCACAGGAATTAGAAAAAATGGAGCGACAATAGGACAGACTGCAGGTGGGTGATGGCTTAAGAGATCAGGAGCCGCGTTTTGGACACATTAATTTTGAGAAGCTTATAGACATTCAAGAGGAGATGTCAGTAGGCAGTTGATTATATGAGTCTGGAGCTCCAGGGACAGATCAGGGCTGAGACAGAAAATTGGAAGTTATTAGCATCTAGATGGTATTTAAAGCCATGAGATTAGATGAGTTCATCAAGAGTATAGAAGACAGAGAGAGAAAGACAGAGACAGAGACATAGACAGCTAGGCAGAAACACAGAGGGGGTTATCTCCAGGATCTAGCCCTGAAGCCACAGTGCTTACAGTTTGAAAGAGGGAGAAATATGAATGAAAGAAAATACAGCAAGAGCCAGGTGTAAAACCAGGAGAGAATGGCATCCTGAAGTCAAGTAAGAAAGGTTTCCAAAAGAAAAGAGTAATCAACACGAGATCACAGGTGACTTTGACAAGAAAAAATGGTGGGAGCTAAGGACAAAAGCCTTAATGGAGTAGGTTCAAAAGAAATTTCAAGAACGAAATTCAAAGCAATAGGAACAGACAACCTATAAGGGCAGCAGTAGGAGAAACAAGTGAGTCAAGACAGGGTTCTCTCTTGGAAGAAATGACAGCTTCCAATAGAGAATACATAATGGTGAAGGGGAAATCAATGATTTCAAGAAACAGGGCAGAATTGCTGGAGCAATCTCCTTAAGTAGGCAAGAGGGGACAGAATCTAGGCCCAAGGAAGAGGTTGAACTGAACTGGCAGTTTGAAAGGGAAAGGCAGAATAGAAAGGCACAGGTGCAGGCAGATGGGTGATGGGAGTTTATAGCATTTCTCCTCTGCTTTAATTTTCTCTGTAAAATAGCAAGCTTGCTCATTAGCTAAGATGAGGATGGGGAAGAAGATCTAACAGAATATTAAGCATCAACATAAAATTTAATTCTGGGCTGTTTGTGGGCTAAGTTGTGAGGTGAAGACATCTTTAGGATCCTCAAGCTTCCTGTGTTCTCTGGATTGCTAAATGTGACCCCTACATGGCATCAAGTATTTTAGGTAAAACTCAGGAATCAGCCACTAATTAGAAGAGCGGTTTGCCCCTGTAAAATGAACCCATGTAGGTAAAACTGTTTTCTCTGCCATTAGGAGAAACTGGGAGCTCTCCTATAAAAGTAATATTTATATAAGGAATAAAGTTTGAAAAAAGTTTGCATGTAGTTATGCAAAAATACTCTATTGTGTACCTTCTCAAAATAAGAATAACATACTTTGATTTTAAAATATTTGTGTCACTTATGAAAAATAACCTTATGTTTCTTTCCTTAGATATGGATATTTCTATGGGCATGATTTCTAAAATGGCGAAATTAGAAACAAAGTTATCAAAACAAGAAAGTAAAGCATCTCATAAACATGTAATCAAGAAAGTTAATGTTCCATTTTCTATATGGAACATTTCTATATGGAAAAATAAAGAACGTTCTTTATTTTCGAGATCCATGTTTTCAAATACAGCACATCCCTCTACCCAACTGCAAAGCATTTTCAATGTGAGATCAGCCTACTATCTATTTATTCAACCAGATGCTCTTTATTTATAAAATTAGTCCTATTATTTAAGGCTCACTTTTTTTTTTTTGAGACCAAGTCTCTCTCTGTCACCCAGGCTCAAGTGCAGTGGCACGATCTCAGCTCACTGCAGGCCTCCACCTAACAGGTTCAAGTGATTCTCCTGCCTCAGCCTCCTGAGTAGCTGGAATTACAGGCGCCCACCAGGATGCCCGGCTAATTTTTGTATTTTTAGTAGAAACAGAGTTTCATCATGTTGGCCAGGCTGGTCTCAAACTCCTGACCTCAAGTGATCTGCCTGCCTCAGCCTCCCAAAGTGCTGGGATTATAGGCGTGAGCCTCCAAGCCTGGCCCTAAGGCTCATTTTTTGAAAAACATAGTTCAACACCACTTGTACTTGCTCCAAGAAACACTAGAGGGAGCTTTCCCACATAGACTAGTTTAAACCAAAAAAAAATTTTTTTAAAGGTTCTCACAATACTGAGAAAAAAATGCTCCCACTGTTTATAAAATATTATTACTACTGCTCTCATCTTAGGCCCATAAAAAGTAAATTAACTAGAATTTTAGCTGATTAGACAAGTTTGGCAATAAAATTAATAAGTTAATAAAATAAAGTTAGACTGAAAAAATTTGAATACAGCAAAATCAGGACTTGATGACATTTAATTTGCTAGAGAGTTTAAAGCAGGACACAATAAACATAATAGGAAACATACGTCTTGGTCCTTCATCATGAAATAGGAAGTATAAAGTAATCTAAACAAAATCCTAAAACTGAATATTTAATAGGTAGTTTTAACTTATGAAATGTCTGAATTCATGAGAAGAGAAGGTTTTAAGCAAGGCTTAATTGTGCAATGAAGTGGGCCTTGGAAAAGGAGGCAAAGGAGCGACGGCTCAGCCCAGAGGGATCTGGACATGACAAACTCTAGCTGAGATCAGTAGATAAAGCTGTAATATTATCAGGAAACAAAAAACGCCACACATTTCTCAGAAACCTATTTTTGTCCTGTCCTTCCACATTACTTCAGATATTTATACCATCATAACAGATTATTCACCTTGCAGATGAAAATAATATGACATTCTTGAGCTTTTATTCAAAGACTTCAGGTCCTTATAAACATTATCATTAACTGCTAAAGGGGCGTATACCTCCCTTCTTCAAAGAAGAAAAATCCTAACCGCAGGCCATCCGGGGATAAAAATGAAAACACACATTCACCTCTCTCCAAAATTAGGCTAGAAGGAAAGGCAATAGCAAGCAACCGGATGCTAATCTCTGACCCGGACTTGCACTTTTTGTGGGTGAAGGAAAGGCACTAGTCTCCCCACATAGTAACCATTCATATTGGAGCTCTAAATGCACAACCTCCAACCCTCACAGTAGAGGTCAACTCCTCCAAACAATGCGGGTCCTCATGGAGCGTGCCTGCTGTGGCTGCTCCTGGGGAATGAAAAATTAATCCTATGACATCTTGCAGCAAGACTGCCTTTCTGGCCCTCGTTCCTTCTTCCTGTCTGGGACTCTAGTGAACATCATCTACGAAAGGTTCTGATCAGAAAAGGCATTTTCAGAGCTGACACTGGCTGTTGAAAGGTATGCTTCTTTGTTCATTAAATATCAAACGCTCCCTTCCCTCCCCTTCTCTTGCATGGGCTGGCAAAACGATACCAAGAGAAAGTGTATGATGGTTTACGTGACCCAAACAACAAAACTTTCTTTTCATCTTTGATTGCAGAAAAGAATAAAAAGCTTGAGACTTTCAGCATCCTGGAGAAAGAATATGCTTCATCTACGCACCTCACACATATCTGACTTGAAATCAGATTAATAAATATAATACTTCCACAAGCAATACACCTCTATTTTTGAAGTCTCTGAAACATCACCATATTGCTTGAAAGCCACCTGGAAGCAGGAGCTGTGTCATGACTAGCTTTTGCCCAGCCCACGCCAGGCCCTGCCCACTCTGAATGCATGCCCTGTGGACGGAGATGTCCTCTCTCCCTCCACAGAACTCAATCCGATGACACCATGACCTTTCAATTAATTTACCGCCCATCACTTGTTAATATTTCAAGTACATTCTGGAAACTCAGTATCCCAAAGCCCTTTCAAAAGAATTTTTACTTCTCAAATTTTATGTATGTCAAACATACATAAAATTTTAACTCCTTAAATGTCAAATTTTAACTCCTTAGAGAAGCGCTCACCTTAGAATTTCAAGTAGAATTTGTGACACTAAAGTATTTTTCAGGGCATAATAGCCTTAATTCTTTAACATCCAAAACACCTCCTTAGGTCTACATTAAAAAGATTAATGATTACAGCAGTGCTTCCATTATAATCAATGAGACTGAAGATCAAAGAAAATAAGGAAATCTGTTCAGTGGTTCCTAACAGTTAGCCTGTATAATGTGATAATGGGGCCTGAAATAATTTTCATCAAAACTCCCAAACAAAGGATTTATCTGAGCTGCAGTCTTGCCAAATTTCACAACTTCAAAGTCAGAAACCAAATTCAAAGCAAACTCGCAGCCCTCATTTTTTTTTCACACATGGACTGCTTTCAAGAAAGAATAAGATGAGCCCAATTGTAAATCATCTATAAATGACGTATCAGCTATAATAGACACTGTTTTGTCAAAACAGCACCCACTTCATTTAGAACAAATGGTTTCAGTGGATGCTGCCAATCCTTGCACCCTCCCCCAGGTCCAATCTTCCCATCCACCTGCCTCCAAAGTAGCCACAATAAACTGCAAGTAATCCAAGCTGGTCCAGTGACAGGTAAAGAGGTGCAACTGGCATGTGACCCAAACCAGGTAATGTGAGTTGCTCCCTAATATTTTTCCAACAACAGAAGACAAGACACAGCTGTGTCCCATCTGAAGCCACAAGTATTAAGGAAATTAGTCTGGTACCATACTCCTTCACTGCAGAGAGCAGTCTGCAGTAACAAAATAAAACCAAGAGGAAAATGAAATTAGATCCAAAATGTGGAGAGACAGAGTCCTAGTGGGGTCCAGTCCCTGGCTGTGAACATCCTTAGAGGTGTGGTAAATGAGCTCTTCGTCTCCTCCAATTCTGGGGGCCACTCCCAGGGTCCTTTCACATAGGTGATAGTTTTCACCCTTGTGTCTAAGAGTTCTAACCAGTACACAACTCTGGGAGAATATATATTAACACAGTAGTTAAAGAATCAGTTAATGTTATATATAACCTGTTGAACCCAATCGTTGGGATTGGGTTCATCTGCAATGACTGAAACCCAAAATAGCAATTGATTACACAAAACAGAAGTTTATTTCCCTGTCACATGAAACATGAAAGTGTAGTTAGGGGTTTGGGGCTGTTTTCATCATGGTACTTCATCGCTTGTCATTAAATATCAAAGGTGCAGGTGCCTTCTATCTTGTTTCTCTGTCTTGGGGACCTCAACTCCATGGTTTAAAATAGTTGCAACTGTATTCCAGGGAGCAGGATACAAAGAAGGAATTAATAATAAGAAAAAGAAATAGAGGACATTCCCCTACTGCCCCACCCCCCCCACACACACACATAATGGATTCTCTCTTATTTAAGGAAGGTTTCTTAAGCAAGCTGCCACAAAACAAATCTACTTACACCCCAGTGGCCAGAAGCAGGTGCACTCCTAGCAACAAGAGAAGCTAGGAAATGTAGTCTTGACTCTAGATAGCCATTTACCTAGTTCAAAATTCCGTTACTAGAGAAGAAGGAAGAACAGACAACAGGAACAACCTGTATTCTTTTCATAATGATCAATTATGCATTCGAGACAAGGCAATACATCAGAGCTCTTCAACGAAGAAAAGCTGGGGATAAATGCAAGTCAAAATATTTAAGTTACGTATTGCTTCTAAAAAGAAAGAACTCAAGTCAAAGCTGCAGAGATATGTCCTTAAGAAAAGTAAGGCTGAACTAGGTGTTTCAAAACTTTCTGAAATTGAAAAAAAACAAACAAAAAAACCAGAAATCTTATGATCAACCTTCAAAGACTGTCACAGGACTATTCCTTTCCACCCAAAGATAACAAAGCACATCTGATGGTAATATCATTAAGCTGCATCTACAGACATACTGAAATTTATAAATATCTTTTCCAAATACAATCATGTTCTTCTGGTGACATTTTTTTTTTTTTTTTTTTTGAGATGGAATCTCACTGTGTCACCCAGGCTGGAGTGCAATGGTGCGATCTTGGCTCACTGCAACCTCCGCCTCCCGGGCTCAAGCAATTCTCCTGCCTCAGCCTTCTAAGTAGCTGGAATTACAGGCATGTGCCACCATGTCTGGCTAATTTTTGTATTTTTAGTAGAGACGAGATGGGGTTTTGCCTTGTTGGCCAGGCTGGTCTCGAACTCCTGACCTCAGGTGATCTGCCGGCCTCAGCCTCCCAAAGTTCTGGGATTACAGGCATATGCCACTGCACCTGACCTTCTGGTGACTTTTAAGTAAACTTTTACATTTCTATAGAAACAGTAATAGGGCAATAACCCACAAGTAACCATCTAAAACTTACTTCAACCAGTAATATGTTTCTGTATGTATTATTCTGGTACAGTCACAGAGCAATGTAATTAATCAATAACTATAATATAAATTAAATTTCTTAATTTCATTTCAGCTTACAAATATAGATCAATGCATTCCAATAGGCCAAACACAGAGAATAGCACCACGTGTGTAACCAGCATTTATCCTGTCACAAAAATTTACGAGCCACTGAGGGTTAACTGTGTTGTTTACAACTTTTCATTTTAATCATTTGGAGCATGTATATACATCTCTGTCTTCATAAACAGTACATATTAGCCATAATATAAATTTTTCTGTCTGATTCAAAGTGTGAACATCAAGTCTTCAGTGCAACACAAGATTCTCTAGTTCCTAGCCAGCTGCTAAATAAATATCAAAAACTGTTGGCGCAGCACAGTGGAGAACTTTAAACTTCAAACAGAGTGAGGCCGTTAAATGGCAAATAGGCCCCAGATTGTATCCGGGAAACATACCTTTTTATGAAAGCTGGAGCTCTATGTGAATGACAGCTAGGGCCATCTGCTACTTGTGAGACTTTGTTCTCCAAAACCATAGAACGAAGAGGTCTGATATACAAATTATTTTCTGATTCTCTGCTAACACCATGCTTTGAATCTGCTAACACCATGCTTGTTTCTAGAAGAAAATGTCTCAGAAATTTTCTTTAATGCAGGTTTCAAAATGGCCCTGAAAGTCAATGGGAACAAAAGGGCCCACATGCAACAATTATGTGATGCAAATACCACTGCACCATCCCATGGACACTACAACTATACCTCAAACACAAATGAGCAAAAACAAGACATTCGGTTACTCTACTAACTATTCAAGTATGACTTCACTGATAAAGACCAACCCAAAAATATATATTATATATATAATATAGATAAATATTCTGATTGGTCTTTTAAATATATATTATATATATATATATTTTCTGATTGGTCTTTATCAGTATGTGTGTGTGCATCTATCTATCTATCCATTTATCTATCTATATTAAACCAGGATCTTTCTAT